>NC_000013.11:75832348-75983863 GCF_000001405.40 Homo sapiens
GAGCTGATGTCATTTTGAAGAAGTCATGGACTGTAGGTCAGGATGTGTCAATAGGGACCCTCTTGGTATCTTAAGGAGTAATTCCTTACAGGTGACATAGTTCTGCATTTTGCAGCATGTAGAGCAGCTATGCCTTTAACGCTAAATCTTCATGTGGCATTTGGGCAAGCAAAAATGCCTTGCCAAACTTCACATGCCCACTAGGGAGTGGTACCAGTCCTAGATGGATGCCACTGGAGGCTAAATTATGTGTCTGTGAACCACTTGAAGTTATTCAGATCAATATGCCAAGTATTGGGAGTAGGTGTTTAAAAGTATGGTGGTCCTTTTTAAATAAATGATTTAAATCACTGTACTTTATTCCTGGGCAGTGAATAAATGGCCTGGCCTATAAGTTAGACCCAATTGTACAGTGGGCAGAAACCTAAGCTTATCCACGGCCAACTGAATTAAAGTATTAATATGAAGAAAAACATGTAATGACAATAAGATTTCCCTTAGTTTAGCAGAAAAATAATAAACTTGGTGCTATTTATATAAATGAAAGTTTTACCAACCTAAGGAAGAAAGAATGAAGCTTCTAGTTTATCATGAAATGATTCAAGTCTACCTAGCGTGCAGTCTCCCTCCTTTCATGGATAGACTTTCCTCCATGTGGGTGCCAGGGACACCGGATACCAGCGTTTCATGTTTTGTTTTCAGGATCAGTTCAGTGATATGAGAATCAGCATAAACCAGACGCCTGGGAAGAGTCTTGACTTTGGGTTTACAATAAAATGGGATATTCCTGGGATCTTCGTAGCATCAGTTGAAGCAGGTAAATTATGTGTTTAGCTCTACTGAATTTTCTTCTCCTTTTCTATCCTTCATTGTGGGGTTGGGGACCACAGAAATTAGTGTATTTGATATAGGAGGAGAAAACGTGAAAAATGCAACCATAAGGCCAGAAAATACATCCTCTTTCCTGAGATTATTAGTTGGGGTTACAAATTCCATATTGTTTATTCTCCTTGACTAATTACTTTTAGTTTTGAAGAGTCTTAATTTTGTGATTTTACAGATTTTATCCATTTTGGACTTTATATTTGGAAATGCTAACAAACGGCGCTTAAGTAAAGATTCAGAAAGAGCTTTCCATGATCAGCCATGCTTTGTAGTAGATATATATGTGCTATTTAATAAGTTGATTTTTTTTGAGTGTTCTAATATACCTATTGCCCATGAAGTTTTCAGGGTGCTTCAGGACTTCTGCAAAAGGATTACCCCTCCCCTGTCCAGGTCTATACCATGTCAAGCCCAGGAACTCTTTGCAAAACATTACAAGGCCTAAAATTAAAAACAGGAGTTCCTTTATTTTTACTTTTATTTTTTAGTTTTTTTTACATATTTTAGCTATATAAAATTGCATGTTAACACCAGTTAGTTCTTTTACATCTTAAGATTGCCTTAATTAGATAATGGTATTTTAGTTATGGAGTAATTTTAAGCAGTTTTAAATAGCTGTGTTTTCTTCTGCTTCATTCCAGAATGTATCTGAATTGGAAGCTCAATTAAAATGCAGTATGTTTCATATTTCAAATTTAAGAGTAACTTAAATTTTTTTGTCCTTGGGAGGTTAATAAAGAAGTCTTATTGAATAGATGAGTTTATCATTTTTCCTTTAATGAAGATGCATTCTATAGAACTTCAAAAAACACCTCTAATGCTTTGTATGTTGTACTCAGATATTTGGTATTAAAAAAAATAGTGACCTCCACCTGAAAAAGAGAGAAATGGTTAATTGAAATTCAGAGTCATTTTTCTTAAGTTCAAAGCAGCAACTAATAGAACATGTGGGATTTTTTTCCCCAATTGGTTAATTTATTTTGCATTTTTAGGTAGCCCAGCAGAATTTTCTCAGCTACAAGTAGATGATGAAATTATTGCTATTAACAACACCAAGTTTTCATATAACGATTCAAAAGAGTGGGAGGAAGCCATGGCTAAGGCTCAAGAAACTGGACACCTAGTGATGGATGTGAGGCGCTATGGAAAGGCTGGTGAGTTTGTGTTACCACCATGTCTGGCATTTGAAACTGGGACCTGGCCGTTGGCAAGTGGTTCTAACAATTTGCTTCAATAACTTTTTATTTTTTCACTTATGTTTTGGCATTAAAGGTTTTTGTAGTTACGTCATGACAAATCTTGAACCCTACCCCTTTGAATACTCTGTCTGGATTTTTCACTAGCAAATTTACTGAATTCTACATTATTTATTGACTGATTCATGTACTGGTTTGACTGAATGCAAATACCAACTGAAGACAAATGTATCTGCATCCAGGAGTTATTTATAATAATATTGAGTATTAAGAATTATGCTATGATTTAACTTTATCTGCAGCATCATAACCATATTGGTATAAGAGAGAGAGCTTGGTAGGTCATATTTCTATTTATTCTCAAAGAACTTTCAATGTGCATTCCATTAATGTGTTTCTTAATTATAGAGGCTAGATGGGAAAAGGCATTAAGCCTCTGCAGACCTACCAACTTATGATATCAAAATAAAATATCTATCCTGGTTTATGGGAAAGATTCAGCAAATTTGCTAGTTTTTTCATTACTAACATGATTTAACCCTTGTGTTTTGGGAAGGTGGTCTGTTGGTAAAAAGCCCTAAACTCTTGATTTATTTCACACGCTGCCTGATTTGTTTGTCTTGTATATGTAGATTTTTTTTTATATATATGTGCATTCAATGACTTTATTCTTTCCACTTCAACATCTATGTGTACTCATTTGATCTTCATGTGCCAATCAGACTGGGGCAAAGACCAACCTTCCCTGCCATTTATACGGCATAAAACCCTCAATCTCACCAGTATGGCTACCAAAATTATAGGTTCACCTGAAACAAAGTGGATTGATGCAACTTCTGGAATTTACAACTCAGAAAAATCTTCAAATCTATCTGTAACAACTGATTTCTCCGAAAGCCTTCAGAGTTCTGTGAGTATTTGGAGAAGTAGGAAGTACTGGTGTGGAGTAAAGCAGCTGTTAGAATTGTGTATGGAAGAAAATAATTTCTTTTGTTTGTACAATTTTGATGCTAACTTTAAAATGTAAATGATTGAATAATGTAAATTATAGTAAAGAGATACAGTAAAATATATTTTTGAAAATCATAGGCATTCCTCATAGAGTAGTTGTGAGTTATATAATGGTAAAATCCAAAGACCCCATAATGTTGTTTTGCAGGTGTTTTCCACCAATCTTTCATCATTAGACCCACCTCTCAGATCTTTGTGAGCATGAAGTAGCAATTACATAAAATTATAAACTATAACTTCTTTATGCGTTCCTTAGTCTTTACTGGCAAATAAAGTTAATAGTTGGGTGTAATGTAAAACTTCATGAAGCATTTTTAGTTTTTGTGTAGGTGAATTTGATGGGTAGACTTACATATGTGGTTAAGAGATAATCAGTTTCATTAATTTGATCAAAAATATAATGTAGAAATTTTTCTAAGTATCAAAGCAATACTTTTTCCTGTAGACTTTGAAGTCATGTGGTTTCTATTTATGATACAAATTGTTCATTTAAATTAATAATTAAATTTAAATTTCAACTAAATATTATGCACTTATACTCACTCCTTAGATTGTGTTATCATCTCAAGGTATAACTCTTTTATTTAATAAGGAGCTCTTACTATATTGTATAAGAAATGTTTAAGTGTTTGAGAATCCTATATGACTGTTTTGTGTACTCATAAATATAAGCCAAATGGACTAATGATTATCTAGCTGATTTTATTTCTTGGAAAATTAATGATCGATTAAACTTAAACTCATCCATGCCTGCAGCTGGTCATTAATTCTGCCACAAATATTGAAGTATAATGAAAAAACTTAAGTTTCTACTACATGTAAAAGGCTGTAAGGAATGCATCAATATCCCGAGAAACTCATCTTGTTAAAATATATATTTCACTAATGCGAAATGCATTATTTAAGGCCAAAGTCCAACTGGAGAGAATATTAACTAGCATTTTTACCCTTTCCAGAATATTGAATCCAAAGAAATCAATGGAATTCATGATGAAAGCAATGCTTTTGAATCAAAAGGTAAATATCACCTTTATAACTTACATTTATAATACAGGAAAAGACATAGCACTCAAGTTCTGCTGTTATAAAAATTAATATCTGTGAGTGAAAGAAAAAGTGATCCACTGCAAGTTGAAACTAAAAGGTTAACACGCAGATCCAATTGCAGCCAGGTGGAAGGGCGTTCAGTTCCAGTGCTGAATAGTTCAGGCACTGCAAACAAAGCTTTGGCAGCATGTTCCGGAGCTTTGAGTGCCTGAGTGCCTAAGTCAAATAAGAAAGACTGGTTCTTCCTGAGGCCGTCAGCTTTCTTGCTAGGGTATGCTGGCAATGGGAATCTTAGTTAAGCATGAAACTATGAATGAAGTTTCCTTTCTTCTTTATTGTGAAAGGGACAAGCTTGGAGGCAGTTAGCTGTAAGAGGGAAATGCCAGTGGCAATAAAGTCATTAGCAGATGTACCCATTTGTAATGACAAAGAAGGCAAAATATCTAGGGAAATTTTGGAGTTATCTCCATCTTTCTTCTTCTGCCCATCCAGAAATAATTTAGCTAGCATACATCGTGTGCTATTCCTTGGGCACAGAAAAATAAGAATAGATCCGGTCATGTAGGCAGGGGAAGAAACCCAAAGAAGACGAGACCTCTTCTGCCATGAACCTAGACTGCCAAGAATGGGACTGGGTTTTCACAGTGCTTTGGTGGCTTTAAATCTACATTCGATAGTTTATAATACATTTTCTTAAAGCCAACCTAAATATATAAATTTCCCTTTCCTCATCGATTATTTAATTTTGTATTTCATTTCTGATAGACAGAAGTGACTATATTTTGTTTTCAGTTGCATTCTTTATCAAAGGAGTTTTTAAAGCAAACTTTGCTTAGTTTTCTCTGTGATGTTACATGTAAAGCACCGGGTCCTATTCCGCAGTGACTCAGGTGAGATAGGTGATCAGACATCTAGCTCTATGACGACTAGGGGACTATACGTGGGCCCTGTCATTGGAAGGTTTTGTTTAGATAAGTAAGCACTAACTAGTATCAAGTAATAATCATAGGTACATTTTATGCCATAGTCTTGTGACAGATCTATGGGAGAAGTCAGAATGTTTTTCTTTTGTTTTCTTGGTGGAACTCCATTTGCTTTACTTAATAGTAGTAGCTACCAGATCTTGAAAACTAGGTCAAAAAATTCTAGTTAGAAGGTGGTCGTAACTTTAGTATTTTGTTTTCTTTGATCTTTCTTTGGGTATCATTTTGTTTTGTTTTCTTCCCCATTACTTTTCACTTCTTATTCATAAATGTTGTGAAAACTGTTTGTTATAGACAGTTTTCCAGGTAGTAGACAAGATTATGGATTGTTTAACCTAAGCAAAAAATATTGATTTCCTTTTCCCTAAAACGGCGTGATCTAGCATGGAAGATGATACTTTGGCTTTTCATAGCTGTGAAACTATCATGCTATATGCTAAAGTTTATTAATAAAAATATTCATTCCTTCTACTAATTTGAATGTAATGTAGGCTACTAAAATTGTGTGTCCCTGTGCCTTGAAATAATCTATATCTTCTATGGCTATCAGTTTTGTGATCTTTTAAAATAATATTGCTACAGATTGGAAAGGTATATCAAGTATCGTTTAATTTACCAATGGTGAGAAATAAAAATGAATGACATAGTGTTTATTTTTTTTTCAACTAGCATCTGAATCCATTTCTTTGAAAAACTTAAAAAGGCGATCACAATTTTTTGAACAAGGTAAACCACAAAGCTAACAATTCATGCACTTTCATGGAATTGTTCTCCCTCTCCACTCTTCCTCATGGTCTGTGGTGCTGGGCACTGAGCCTCTTCAATTTGTCTGTCATTATGACCAAGCGACATAACCCATTTCCATTCTTTCCCTAGGGTCATCAGGCTTTTCTTACAGTTCATGGGTCTACCTCTGTGGTAATGGGTCTTTGTGTGTCCTTTGTATACCTCTAAACATTTTACTTTTTTTTTTTTAACTTTGTAAAAAAAAAAAAAAAAAAAAAGGGAGATGCTCTTAAACACACACTTGTTTCCACTGGGTAACAGTAAGAAATGAGGAATTTCATTTAAGCCTTACTGCTTCCTACAAATTGCATAATATTAGATTACACCAACATGCAATTGGCCAAGTTTTTAAAAACCTGACTTGTTTTTGGTTGTGGAAAACACTGTTAATAAAGAAGAGTTATTTTTGCTATGGGATGGTGGCTTTGGAGTGTTGATTTGACTGCTCTGTTGACTTTGAAGTAAATTCAAAGTAAATACATTTTGGTTGCATCTGAGAACAGGTGCGTTTTGAGATTCTCCGTGTTGGTGTAGTTGGGCAGGGCTGCCTCACAATGTGCTGTGCATGTGACATTTGCTCCCGTGTCACGTTTGCCTAATGCTCTGTCACATGAATGCCGTTCAAGCTCTGTTTTGCTACTAAGAACTTAAAAGTAATAGTCAACATTTGAGATGCAATGGTCAGAGGATATTGTGCTGTTGCCATCTAAAATGTTACTGTTTCTTACTTTTAAGACTATTAACACGTTTACAAACGTGCCTTATAACACAGTACTTATTGGGTTTGTGTATTTTGTGTTAATCACCTAATATCATTCCTTTGGATTAAGGTCTCTTTTGGACCATAAACAGAAGTATCTTACCAGCTATGCAAGTCTATTTGTGTCAGTATCCTTAGTGTTTTTGATTTATATTTTAAAATAAAATTCCTGTTTTTCTATGGCTATTTAATTGAAACAGTATGATACTCCTTCCTAACACTGGCTAAAATAAAGCAATTTCTCTTCCTTCTCTGTTCTAATTTTCTCCCATTTTTCTTCAACAGGCTATTCTAGGGAAGAGTATTTTTCTAGGTCTCAAAGCAATTTTATTTAAAAAATTGTATGTGAAGAATTTATTTGACAGCTGAGGTTTCAAGAACATTTAAAAGTACTGTATGATAGTGTATTTTCTGAAGTTTTACTTTTTAAATAATCATTGTTCTATGTAAAGGTATACTTACATAGGTCCCCTAAGAATAAAAAGAATAAGACTGTACCCATAAGTTTACATATGAAGTTTGAATACGTGTGTTTCAAGCAATAGGAGTAGAAAAAGGAAATTGTTTCTTGAACATGTTTGTTGTGGTGACTTGCTTACGAAAGTGGCTCATTAGTAAGAAGGCTTGAAAAATGTGACTTGCAGCTGTCATGTTGTGAGTAGTGGCAAGTAAAAAATTGGGATTTGGTAGATGTTGTAACATTTGAAATTCTTTTTTTTTTTTTTTTTCCTGTTAGGCCAAACTATGAGATGCTGCCCAGTTTATTAATAAAAGAACCCTGAAGCTTCTTCAGAAATATCCATTGATCCTACTCTAATACCTAGAGCTAGGGTTTATTTTGGCATCTGTATCTTCCTTTTACTAACTTTGAATTTGAAAGATGAGTAACAGATGGAACTGTTACACCTGGAGAAAAAAGGATTTACTGACTATTGTTTAAAAAAACATTGTCACTTAGTATACTGGCATAGAGACAGCTAATGATAGAAGTTTCTGAAAGGAATTATTTCATAGAAATGAAGACTTATATTGTATATTTTTCTTCCTTGCCCATGTGCTGCAACACAGGAAGCTCTGATTCGGTGGTTCCTGATGTAAGTAGCATTCATTTGTCATTTGGAATAAGGTGAACTTGGTGGGACTGAATTAGTACACCGTAGCATGCTTACCATGATTTTAGGTTGCATAAGAATTTATCAGAGAGTTATCCTTCCAAGTTGAAAAACTTATTTTAAAATTCAAAGCCAGCTCTCCCTTGGTACAGTTTAAGCAAACTGTGATATGAATAATTTATGTGTGCAAAAGTGGTTCAGTAGATGACTTAATGAAGTTATGTTGTTCTCTATTTGCATCTCTTCTCTGATAACTGGTTAGCTTCCAGTTCCAACCATCAGTGCCCCGAGTCGCTGGGTGTGGGATCAAGAGGAGGAGCGGAAGCGGCAGGAGAGGTGGCAGAAGGAGCAGGACCGCCTACTGCAGGTAGCTCTGGCTCACGTGGACGGGTAGAAACTAGGTTGGATTTCACGGCTTTTCTCCAGTCTGTCAACCAGTATTGAGAAACTAATTTTAAACGCAACAATCTCACAACTAACAAATATTTTTGCACACAGTACATTTTCCATAAAACAATTACTTTTCCATTTTGAAGATTTCCAGAGTCATCCTTTAAAAATCATTATTTATTAACCCCCATGTGTGTTTTTGTAGAGTATGAAGGGCACTCACTTAGGGGGTGTGAAGTGCACAGACTTTGTGATGACTTGGTTCCCATAAACTGTTTGCTGGGTCCATTGCAGAGTAATTCAGCCCCCGCTTACAGTTTGCTAGAGGCCTTAATGAATTAGAGCCATGGTAAAGGGTGGATGGGGGTTTAATTCTCAGTGTCTACCTTTTTACCCCAGTGCCTGCAGTTTTAATTCAATATATGCTCTTTTCTACTATAGGGACTAAAATCTGATTGGCTTATGAAAATAAATCATGGTCTTTAAAGGTTTGAGGTTGAAGGTTTAGAGATCATAAAAGTGTTAATAAAGAAGATTCCTAATGTGAAGAGTTAATCTATTGGATTAATATATGTCATATTTTCTTATAGGAAAAATATCAACGTGAGCAGGAGAAACTGAGGGAAGAGTGGCAAAGGGCCAAACAGGAGGCAGAGAGAGAGAATTCCAAGTACTTGGATGAGGTAGTGTTAGAACATGCCTGTTTAGTTTTTCTTCTCTTTACCTTGTTGGTGAGATTAGCTGAGAATCAGGAGACACTTCATTTTTCTCCACCTTTGACCATATGTTCACCTGTGTAGCTCTTTGAAAAATACAATGAGCTCTGATTTGTTAGAATTTTGCTTGGATGTTGCAGCCTTTCTCCTAGTTTTTATAGTACATCATTAACAAATTATGTTAATAGAACTTCAGTGCATCTTCCTCTTCTGAGTTACATCTCAGTCACTCATGTGTAGCTTCTTTAGTGGTAAAAACTCTTAACATGTTTTTTGAGTGGAGTCCTGGGCCAACTATAGTTAGTAGCATCTAAAACTGAATATATATGTGTCTATATGAAATTACGGAAATAAACAGATTTAGATGGATTTCTTTTTTCACTGGTCACCTAGGAACTGATGGTCCTAAGCTCAAACAGCATGTCTCTGACCACACGGGAGCCCTCTCTTGCCACCTGGGAAGCTACCTGGAGTGAAGGGTCCAAGTCTTCAGACAGAGAAGGAACCCGAGCAGGAGAAGAGGAGAGGAGACAGCCACAAGAGGAAGTTGTTCATGAGGACCAAGGAAAGAAGCCGCAGGATCAGCTTGTTATTGAGAGAGAGAGGAAATGGGAGCAACAGCTTCAGGAAGAGCAAGAGCAAAAGCGGCTTCAGGCTGAGGCTGAGGAGCAGAAGCGTCCTGCGGAGGAGCAGAAGCGCCAGGCAGAGATAGAGCGGGAAACATCAGTCAGAATATACCAGTACAGGAGGTATGTCCCCACAGCCAGAGGGTACAAAGGCTTAGCTGTATCCATTCCCCACTTCAAAGGCACCCGCTTGCTCTTCCTGTTTCCTACCACCCATTCTCCACACAAGTGAATACAAGCCACCAAAGAGAACCTTTAAATCATAAACCCTGCCATGTCATCTTGCTTCACCACCCATAACACTCCAAGTCACTTCCTGTCACATCAGAACCCCATCCAGCATCCTTGCCAAGGCCTAGAAGGCTGCCATGAGCTACATTACCTTGTAGTACCTCTACTCTTCCCCTTACTCACTCTGTTCCAGCCCCATTGGCCTCCTGTTTCTTCCTTGAAAATACCCAAGGACTTTTGTATTTTCTAGTTCATCTGCTTGGAGAAGTCATCAAATGTTTGTGTGTCTTGTGTTCTCATTTTCTTCTAGTTTCTGCTCAAACATCACCTCCTTAGACTTTTCTAGAATACCTGATTTAAAATACAGGCCCCTTCTCACTCTTTCTCTCTGTATACTCTTATTTTATATTGTGCATTTATTTGTTTATCTGTTAGCCTGCCTGCTGCAGTAAGATGTAAGTGCTATAAAGTCAGTAAGTTTGTTTTGTGTACTCCTATAGCCCATTCTTAGAGTGGTACTGGAATATGGTGGGGACTCAGTATGTATTTGTAGAATGAATGGCTTGCAAATGTCTGTTGGCAATAGTGGGTCTATTTTCTGTGGTTATTCATTGAAATACCTTTGTATGTTTAGTTTTTAACCCAAAGACCATTTGCATAAAGAGGCTAGAATGACATTATTTTGATACCCTTTTCTTAAACTCAGGGAAGGGCTTAAAGTCTAATATTTTGACAACAAAATCTTTTTCTATCTTTTAGGCCTGTTGATTCCTATGATATACCAAAGACAGAAGAAGCATCTTCAGGTTTTCTTCCTGGTGACAGGTATGTAGAGCATGTTATTGTAATTTAATTGATGATAATGGCTTCAGACAATATTCCAGAGCTTGCATCGATGATTTGTAGAACTACTTTAGCCCTTTGTCATTTGTGGGGTATAAAGAGGAATTGCTGGTTGATCTTTGTATCAGTTAGCTTTTGCTGTGTAACAACTATTCGTGAACTTAATGAATTAGCTTATGATTTTATGGTCAGCATGTTAGGCTGATCTCCCTTGGGCAGCCTTTTAGTTGACTGGGCTTGCTCATATATCTGCTACCTATTAACTAGGCAGCTCTGCTTTTGGGGGTTGGCTGGCTGTCAGCTGGGGCTGTGAGAACAACTGGGTCATGTGCCTTTTGATATCCGCTGAGCCAGGAAGGTCTTATGTATACGTGGTGGTGAGGCAGGGGAAAGAGAATTAAAGAGAGGAAATCTGCAAGGCATCTTGAGGTTTAAGTTGTCTAAAGTCACAGTCACAGGTCGTGGAGAAGAGAAGAACACTGCCTCTTTATGGTAGGAATCACATTGCAAGGGGAATGGACACGGCCGGGAAAGAACTGTGTCAATTTTCTGTAATCCAACATAATCTTCATTTTAAAAAGGTTATGAATAATGGCTTCACATTACTCCCCAAAGGGTTATGTATGGACATCTGAAATGGGAATGGTGACATTTCTCTGAGGCAGTTTGGTTAGAACTACTGGTCAGTTTTGGGGAATAAAGATAAAATTTCAGATATCTGGAAAGTTACATGTATCTTAAAATTTCCTAAAACATTGTTTTAATGTTTTAAAGCAATTTTTAAAATGCTTTGCAGTTTTGAAATCACTAAGGACTTCTAAACAGTCTGTCAAACAAATATTGAGGGTAGGGCCATTACCTTGTGTTTTCAGAGCTGAAATTTCTCCTTTTGTCTTACTTATTAGATATAAGGAAAGACTTGTATCTACAAGCAGCCGGGATGACTGAATAGGGCTCAGAATAAAAGGGGAAAAGGAAAGGGACAAGCAGGTAGTAATGGGCTGACAATAAGCTAAAGAAAAATCTAGTGATAGATGACCTTGTTTATAATCTTTCTGGGTAACTGTAAATCATTAAAATGTTTATCTCCTTTTAAAAGTTATGGATTTACTTACATATTTACAAAAACTTTATTTATATAGCTCATGACCTTGGGGAAAATAATTAAAATGCAGAGAAAGGAAACTTAAGGAAGCCTGGAAAATATGAATACCTGCAGGCAGTCCAGATAAAGCATGCCCTAGAGGCATCAAGGAGTGTGGCTAGACATCTGGTAATAAGTGTTTTCTTCTATGTTGATACAAGTGAAATTATTCACAAGTGCAGCTGTCTACCACTTATGATACATTATGTATTATAAATTATTGGATTTACACATATGTAATATATACATATATGTACATAAGTATAATATTACATATTATAATGTATATTATATATTGTCATTACTACTATTATTTTCTTTTTCTTTTGTTTTTTTCTTTTTTTTTTTTGAGACGTAGTCTCGCTCTGTCGCCCAGGCTGGAGTGCAGTGGGGTGATCTCAGCTCACTGCAACCTCCACCTCCTGGGTTCAAGTGATTCTCCCACTTCAGTCTCCCAAGTAACTGAGACTACGGGCGCATGCCACCACATCTAGCTTGTTTTTGTATTTTTGTAGAGACGGGGTTTCACCATGTTAGCCAGGGTGGCTTCAAACTCCTGACCTCAAGTGATCCTCCCGCCTCAGCCTCCCAAAGTGCTGGGATTACAGGAGTGAGCCACCAAGCCCAGCCACCACTATTATTTTCAAAGTTCAGTGTGTCTAGCAGAATGGGAATGAGATTAGCATGTGTTGATTTATACACCTACATTTTATTGGTACAAACTTAAGGCGTTTCCAGAAGTTGACTGTGCTGTATGCTTTAGTACCTCTTTGGAACACTAAGATGGCATTTGGTAAATTAATGTTCCACAGTAGTCAGTGGCACTCTAATGCCCAAGAAGTTGACATGATAACCCTGGGGAGTGTGGGGGAAGTGGGACAGTCTGACTGTAGGTGATCTGATGGCAGATGGTTTGTAAGCCTGGTAGGACTGAGATCTGGACCAGGGTGAACATCGACAACAATTGATCAATAACTTATAGTCTTCATCATCATACAAACTGGAGAAGTACTGTCACGTGTTTGTATCTATTTCCAGCATTTCACTCTTCTCTTTTTTAAGGATGTCAAGGTTTTCTGTGAGTTTGTGAAAGATGAAAAATTTCTTGGTTTAAACATAATTGCTCTCAGCAGACACAGAAAATAAATCAACTGCTTTAAAAAGCAATCTCTTCGGTGTTTTTACTTCATAAATATAAAGGAGGTTATTTAATGAGACATATTTAATATATTGTGTTCTGTGTTTTAGGAATAAATCCAGATCTACTACTGAACTGGATGATTACTCCACAAATAAAAATGGTAAATGCGATATTTTCCCCCAAACTCCTTCAGAGTTGCTTATTTGTGGTATCATGTTATGAGAAGTATTTTTAAGGTCAAGATATTTCAGATTCATTAAGATTACTTAATTAAAATACTTAGTATTTTAACCTCTGTATATAAAAACAGCAAAACAACTATCTTGTGTTTACTTTTGGCTTTATTTTATATTGAAAAATACTGGGAGATTAAAATGGTTTTAAATTGCTAATGAAATATGTGGGAATTTTGCAAAGCGATGCTGATGCAGCTATGTATAGTAGATTTTATCTTGCAGCTGAAGAAATAGTACAGAAAAGATGTCTACGAAATACTGGAGGACTTAAAAATTGCATACTAATTCGAATTATACATGTAAATGCCAAAATGTCAAAAAATCAAAAATTATGACTTCAGTAATTGTGCAGAAACAATTTGGACTTGACATTGTCAGTATAAAATATGTTTCTGAAGAATGCATATAGCAGAAATTATGTAACTATGAAAAAAAACCCTAAGCGGTAATTACCATTTTAAGCAGGGTTTGCATATCAGGATTTGCATAAGCAGGCGGCTGGTCATTTACATGAATGAATGAAGGTCCAGGTAGGGCTGAGGTCAACATGCCCATCATGTTGGATAGCCACTGCCCAGCTCCAGCCTATCATTGCCATGCTGGAGAAGGCAACCCTCTGCCTACTCTTCCTGTTGTAACAGAAAAGTTAAAAAAAAAAAAAATCTGTTTTCATGTGTTATCTTTCATGTGCTGACAAGAGATTTTTTTAAAAAACTAAAATGCCCTGTGAGCAAAACAACCTATCTACAGGCCAGATAGTCTGGTGGCAGCTAGTTTAACCTCTCATTAAAGCTTATAGAACTTACAGTTTTTATTGGGATTCACAGTTCTATGATTATCCCTTTCTTTGAGCAGTTAGGACCTTTGTTATCTGGTTCTAGTTTAACTTTCCAGCTGATCTTGCTATTTTTCTGTTAATGGGTCCGTAACTATAACCACATTATTATCTTTCTCAGTTCCCAATTTATCACGTACTTTTCTGATCTGGTTCCTCTGGTCTTACCTTTCCCTATTTGTATTTTCCATTTCTTCTCCCCTGAACTTGCCTTTAGCCACCATTAAAATTATAGTTTTAAGTACTTCAGTATTCCATGAAATATTTTTAACCTGCAGCGATTATATTATCTCTCCTGAACATAAACACAAGACCTGTCAGTAACTGCAACTGTGAATCTCCGGAATAATCTTGTTAATATTTGTGGCTTGTGTCATTAATCGGATTATTTTGTATATATGTTTTCCCCCCTTTATTAACTCATTGCAAGCTCTTGGATAGCAGGCAGTGGAAGTTATTAAATATTTGATTTAAAAACTTGGTTATACCAAAATGACACTTTAAAAAGAGGCCAGGCACGGTGGCTCACGCCTGTAATCCAACCAGCCTGACCAACATAGTGAAACCCCATCTCTACCAAAAATACAAAAATTAGCCAGGCGTGGTGGCATGTGCCTGTAATCCCAGCTACTCAGGAGGATGAGGCAGGAGAATTGCTTGAACCCGGGAGGCAGAGGTTGCAGTGAGCCGAGATCGCTCCACTGCACTCCAGCCTGGGTGACGGAGCAGACTCTGTCTCAAAAAAAAAAAAAAAAAAGGCAACATTTCTTTAAAGTCTGACCAAATTGATAAGCTTTGTATGTACACAAATGTAAGTATAGTTGTATAAGAAACCTTTGGTCTTGCTCATTGCTTAGTGGAAGATGAACCAAGGCATAGACAAACAATAAATTTTGAAAGAATGGCAGTAGCAATAAATGTAGAGAAAGAAAATAAATCCTTAGATGCAATTTCCTAATCCAGATTAAGGTGGGAATGATACGTCAAAGTTGTGGGTGTTTTACCCCAATCAGAAACTAATCGCCAAATCCAAGAGACAGAGTCCTCACGATAAAACCTGACTTAATTGTCATGAATAAATTCAACATTCAAATTATAGTTCTGTCAGCTTCTTAGAGTAGAAGCAAGTCTAGTAACATTTATGGATGATTATTTGGATTGCTTGAATATTTTTCCTGTTCACAAAAGCCATTTCCATGATTGAGTGTGCTCTTACTCTTACAATTTTGGTTGTCACTTATACCATGCACACTTGGGTCATGTCAGCCAGAGATATGTGCGTTTATGTCCTCTCTCCCCAGGGAGAGTATATATTTTTTGAGAGAAGAAAACTCCCTGTTTCCTTTTAGAGTTGTTACAGCAAGCATTTGAGCATGTTCTTGATTGATTTAATTTAGGAAAGGAAGAGTGGAAGAAAAACTATGTCTAGATGAGCACTTTGTAACTGAGTAATACTGAAACCAGTACTGATTGTTGCCTTTTTGGGCAGCCTTTTTCATTTTCCCAAGTGTGTTCTGTGGTGTGGCTCTGGCTGTGGAACTGGACTTTCTGGAGTAGGAGACAGTTACTTTATGTTCTCATGCAGCACCCTCACTGAGAATTGATAATGTTAGCACACGTGCACAATGCCACATTTTAAGCTGCACTGCCATGGGCGATTTATCCAGTCACTATTTATTTATTTATTGAGGCTGCAATTTCAAATACACTTTATTTATTTGTTACATCAACTCCATCTCTCCTCTGTCATTTTGTATTTGTATTTTTTATTTTTAAATTTTTTTATTTCCATAGGTTTTTGGGGAACAGGTGGTATTTGGTTACATGAGTAAGTTCTTTAGTGGTGATTTGTGAGATTTTGGTGCACCCATCTCTCGAGAAGTATACACTGAGCTGAATTTGTAGTCTTTTGTCCCTCACCCCCTTCCCACCCTTTCCTGCTGAGTCCACAAAGTCCATTGTGTCATTTTTATGCTTTTGCATCCTCATAGCCTAGTTCCCACTTACAAGTGAGAACATACGATGTTTGGTTTTCCATTCCTGAGTTACTTCACTTAGAATAATTGTCTCCAATCTCATCCAGGTTGCTGCAAATGCCATTAATTCATTCCTTTTTATGGCTGAGTAGTATTCCATGCGATTATCTATCTATCTATCTATCTATCTATCTATCTATCTAACTATCTCACATTCTCTTTATCCACTCATTGATTGATGGGCATTTGGGTTGGTTCCACATTTTTGCATTGCGAATTGTGCTGCTATAAACATGAGTGAGCAAATATCTTTTTCATATAATGGCATCTTTTCCTCCTGGGTGGATACCCAGTATATATATATATATCATGTTCTCTATCCATTCATTGATTGATGGGCATTTGGGTTGGTTCCACATTTTTGCCTTGCAAATTGTGCTGCTATAAACATGGGTGAGCAAGTATCTTTTTCATATAATGACATCTTTTCCTCCTGGGTGGATACCCAGTGGTGGGATTGCTGGATCAAATGGTAGACCTACTTATAGTTCTTTCAGGAAGCTACACACTGATTTCCATAGTGGTTGTACTAGTTTACATTCCCACCAGCAGCGTAGGAGTGCTCCCTTTTCCCTGCATTCACACCAACGTCTATTATTTTTTGAGTTGTTGATTATGGCCATTCTTGCAGGAGTAAGGTGGTATCACATTATGGTTTTGATTTGCATTTCCCTGATCACTAGTGATGTCAATCATCACTGTCACTTTTAAAAGGTACTAATCCCAAAGCTTTTGATTTGTTTTTAATTTAGGAAACAATAAATATTTAGACCAAATTGGGAACATGACCTCTTCACAGAGGAGATCCAAGAAAGAACAAGTACCATCAGGAGCAGAATTGGAGAGGCAACAAATCCTTCAGGAAATGAGGAAGAGAACACCCCTTCACAATGACAACAGCTGGATCCGACAGCGCAGTGCCAGTGTCAACAAAGAGCCTGTTAGTCTTCCTGGGATCATGAGAAGGTGCGAGACATCTTAGGAATTGGTTTCTTGTCTTTACTGTGAGGCAGATATTTAATTTGTAGACATCCTGGTGCTTTGGACAGAAGAGATGAAAGGAACATAGAGCGAACGCTCTGGGCACTATTATGTGTCAGTTTACATGACCACATCTAATCTGAGGAAAACATATTGAGGTAGGGATAATAATTCTGGCTGTTTTTTTTTTTTCTTTTTTTTTTACTATGAGGGAACTTTGACTCAAGCAGGCAAGACGCTGACAAAATCACATGGTTAATAGATTGCAAATCTGGATGGGGCATTCTGAAGTGAGGTTCAGATGCTTAAATAATGCACAGTGCTCTTAGAACTTTCTTGGCTGCTGAACTTCAACAAATAGAAGTTTCATATTTTTATATTTCTAATGAGATAATGATTAGATTGGAATCTTGATAATTGGATTCACAAAGTGATAAACCTAATTTTTATAACTTTAAGGAGATAAAGGTATAGATATTAATTGGAAATGAGTGCAGGAACATTTTAAAAGATGTATCTTGGGTAAATGAATGCAGCTACTCTGATTCAGTATTTTCTTATCTGACAGACTGGGGAATTTATTTGTAACATATCACAGAGAAAGAGCTAATTATGTCAATATATTAATAACTTTGTAAAAATCAGAAAATTATCCCTACCAACTCTATAAAAAATAGATGTGTGCCTGTAATCCCAGCTACCCAGGAGGCTGAGGCAGGAGAATCACTGGAACCCGTGAGGCAGAGGTTGCAGTGAGCTGAGATCTTGCCACTGCACTCCAGCCTGGATGACGGAGCAAGAGACTCTGTATAAAAAAAGAAAAAAGACAAAGGGATATGAACAGATAGTTCGTAGGAAAAAGAAACACAAAGCCAATAAACACAAAACATCAATACTAGTCCTAAAACAATAATGTATCTCTTTTGCTCACTGGATTTGTAAAGAGTTAAAATTGATTAAATTTAATATTGACAATTGTATATGGAAATAGGAGTTCTTCTTTCCACTTGGTTGGACAGTTTTTCAGTATGTATTAAGCAAAAGTTTATATATCTGACCCTCTGAGCAATGTAGTTTCTAGCACTCTATCTTCTGGATATATTTGGATAAATATGCAAAGGTACATTCAAGGATGTACACTTACACATTATTCATTAATGGCAAAAGAAAAGAAAATCACAATGTCTGCTAGTAAGGAGATACTCAGTAGTTATTCAATAAACAGTGGCATACTGATCAGACAGAACACTATATGACTATTGAAGAATGAAAGAAAAGTGTTGCTACATAATATGCCACCTCCAAATTTAGTGAGTTAAGACAGTAACTCACAATCTCTCACAGTCCTGAAGATTGACTGGGCAGTTATTTGCATGATGTTGGCTGGGACACTTGAGCAGCTGTAATCATTTACAGTAGGGATTGGTAAGCTTTTATGTATAAGGACTAGAGAGTAAATAATTTAGGGTTTACAGGCCACATAGGTTTCTGCCACACATTCTTTTTTTTTTTTAAGACTCTTTGAAAATGTGAAAAAAGTCTCAGCTCGTGAGCTGTGTCTATCTTGGCAGTAGGCTGTAATTTGCTGTCCCCTGTAGCTGTAGAGGCTTCACTGAGAGCTTGGCCAGAGCTACTAGTTGAGGGGCCTGTGTTCTGCATATGGGCCTCTCCACATAGTTTTTTGGGCTACCCCATGGCATGGGACCTGGGTTCAAAGAGGAAAATCTCGCACCATGGCAATGCCTAATAAGCAAGTGCTTATCAAGCTGCCATGTGCATCATGTTTGCTGATGCCCCATTGGCCAAATTAGTCATGTGACTCACCCCAGAGTCAGTGGGAGGGGACTACACAAGGGCGTGGATACCAAAAGGCATGGTTCACTGGAGGCCACTGAAGTACAGTCTTATCATATGAGCAGAATGACGATAGTTCTAAGATAATACATATTAAATGGAAAAGAAGTTATTGAAAACTGTGTTGTGGAATAATCCATTTGTTTAAGACTGTTAAACACAAGCACATTGCATATGTATATAGACACATCTATACTTACATATGTAAATTTGTATGTATGTGTAAATATGTGCTTGCATATGTGAGAAAAGGTCTGGAAGGACACACAAGTAATGGTGGATACCTCTGCGGGTTAGGGCAGGTGAGTCGTGAGACAGGAAGGACTTTTCTTCTCCCTCAGATGCCTTTCTCTGCAGCTTCAGTCTTTCTCCTTATGATAATGTATCACTTTTATAATGTTAAAATTTAAAAGAAAAATTTCAAGCTTGGGATAAGATAAAGTTTTGAAAGCAATAAAAATAAATGTGACTAGGTAGATGAATTCTCATAATTTTGAGTTCATTTTTGTAGGTAGTACTAATGTTAGTACATGAATTTTAAGAGAGATTTTGCAAAAGTTGTATTTAAATCTATTTGGGAGCTAAATCTGATTTTAAAAGAATATGTACTTTAAGGGAAGTGGCTGATAAATGCTTTTATAATGTGGACATTAAACAGTTGCTAAATTTAGGGATTCAGGTGCTACATAAATGAGACCTTCACAGGAGGCATGGTCTGGGTTGTTTTAGAGGACTTGGGTTTGAAAGCCAGTGCCACCATTGACTGGCTTTTCCTATGACAAACTCACTTCTGTAAGATTAAAAAAAAAATCTTAGTGTTATGAAGATTCAATAAGTTTAATATTTTTGTGAAGGTATCTAACCTAATGCTTGTGATATTTAAGCTCTTAAAATGTATTTCTTTGAATTTTTAAAAGGCTTTATATTTGCTATGTCTAAACTGTTGAAGATTTAAAGGATAAGTATCAATCTTCTTAGACTTAGTAGAGTATTAGCTCTTATTTTAAAAATATTTTTCTTAGTGTATTTCTTCTGTGGTTGGTATTTATTGTTTTACCTAAGCACTGAGTAAATAAAAATAAAAATAAACAAAGGTGTTCTCACTTGTAAGCGGGAGCTAAACATTGAGTACATATGGATACAACGAAGGAAACAGTAGACACCCATGGCCAACTTGAGGGTGGAGTGTGGGAGGTTGAGGATCGAAAAACTACCTCTCTGGCAGTCCACATATTACCTGGGTGATGAAATAATCTGTACACCAAACCACCATGACATTCACTTGACCCATGTAACAAACCTGCACGTGTATCCCCTAAACCTAAAATAAAAGTTGGAAAGAAAACAGATTAAAAAAAAGAAGGTTGATTGACTATGAAACATGATGCCACTGATGATGAAGATCAACTTTACTTGTTAAAGGTAATTTTACAGGTGGTTCTCAACTTTCAGTGGTTCGACTTAAGATTTTTGACTTTACAGTGATGTGAAAGTGATAAGCCTTTGTGGAAACTGTACTTTGAGTACCTGTATGACCAGTCTGTTGTTGACTTCCAGTACGGTATTCAGTAAATTGTATACTTGACACTTTGTTGTAAAATAGGCTTTGTGTTGCTTGATTTTGCCCAACTGTAGGCTAAGGTAAGTGTTCTGAGCATGATTGAGGTGGATTAGGCTTAGTTACAATGTATGGTAGTTTAGGTGAAGTAAAAGTATTTTTGACTTACAGTATTTTCAACTTATGATGGGTTTATTGAGACATAACCCCATCATCATACATCAAGGAACATCTGTATATGTAACTAGAATACTTAGATTAATATCCACATATAAAATATAAAAATGGATTTTTAATGAATGGAATGATGAATTAAATAGATTTCTAGTTGAACATGTCACATTATTTTGATGAGTCTTTTTTGTGTTTCAGAGGCGAATCTTTAGATAACCTGGACTCCCCCCGATCCAATTCTTGGAGACAGCCTCCTTGGCTCAATCAGCCCACAGGATTCTATGCTTCTTCCTCTGTGCAAGACTTTAGTCGCCCACCACCTCAGCTGGTGTCCACATCAAACCGTGCCTACATGCGGAACCCCTCCTCCAGCGTGCCCCCACCTTCAGCTGGCTCCGTGAAGACCTCCACCACAGGTGTGGCCACCACACAGTCCCCCACCCCGAGAAGCCATTCCCCTTCAGCTTCACAGTCAGGCTCTCAGCTGCGTAACAGGTGAGGCCCTTGCTGTTTCTCTTTCTTCTCTTAGTCTTGGGTATTTTTTCATTAAAATATCCCCCAAATCCTGTCCAAGTTTTCCAATGAAGAAGAAAAAGAAGCCCTTTTGAATGTGTCAAATTTGGTATTCTAGTATGAAATCAATGAAGGCTTGCTTAATACCATTCCATGCAACTCTAATAGCATTTCTAGATGTCTTGTGAAGCCACTGGAGACTTTGAAGGTGTCTACTTGTTGCCATCGTCTCATTTGCCTGTGTTTGTGGTCAGTGTCTTGGATGTAAGACATACCAGAATACTTCTCAGTGTGGAATCATGAAAACATATAGCAGCTCACGAATGCTTCTCAAATTTCTGAGTGAAATCAGTATTGTCAAATAGCTGACTATTTTCATGACAGTGTCATACAAACTCACAGGAACTGAGTGTAAAAGAAGAGCGTTACAATGCTTTTCCGGGCATGCTCCATCGTCTGGGGGACTTCTGACTAGCTGGATTAAAGAAATGCAAAGTCGGATAGATCTTGCTTTGGGGGTTTTTGATTGCGAAAATAATTGCTTGGGCGTTCTGTTTGCCCACATTTTGTTGAGGCTACATCAGCTGGATTCGGTGGGGAATATGGTGTGGGAAGTGTATATGTTATGATAGGGTGTTATGTTTTTATGTGGAGTGAAGCTCAGATATCAGCCCTGCTTGGGTTTTTAGGTCTGGGTGGCTTCTCCACAGATCTTTCATGCCTCATGTAAGTATATGGGGCAGTGCTGCTCTCCTCACCCCAAGAAAGTGCTGTTGGCATGTACTCCTTTCCATCACAAATGGAATACTTCAAAGTAGAAACACATTGATTAATATTAAGACTTTTTAAAGCCATCAGATAAGAGACTTTCATAAGAAAACATGTTTTATATAAATCCAAAATAATTTTACAGGTACTAGTATATAAAGTGTGTATCAATGAGTTTGAATTGAGAGAACAGAGGTGAAGATTTAGGGTAAATTTGGGTACGGTAGGGAGGTGCAGTCTATGGGATGACAGGAAGACAGAGGAGGGGGGACCCATTTACTGACGGAGAGACCCACTCTGGGAGAGCAGAGGGAGGGGCTGAGGGCTTTTCTGACCTAAGAAGGTCCTGATCTAGGAGGTGGTCCTCTTAAGCGCCGTGCTCATGCTGTGGGGGTGCAGAGATGTGGAAGAACGGGTGCCGCCTTACCAACTGGGAGAGGAGAAAAGACCTGTATACAAAAGTAGAGTAGAAATCCTCCTCCCCTCTCTCCATGGCAGCTGTTAGGTACTTTTCATTTCCTTCCCTGCAGAGACAATCCTGTAAGTCAGAGGCACAGTCAGGAAAAGCACTGACATTTCTCTGTAACTAGAAAACTGGGTGATCAAGAAAGAGGGCGAAAAATAAGTCTGAGAAAAATAGGTCGTAGAGGACTTGCAAAGCCTCTTGAAGAAAGCTGGGGCCACCCTTTTGGTGCTCTGAGGGGGTAGGAGGACATGATCAGCATTGTGTGCTTTGGTTTAACTGGCAAGAAGATGTAGGTGGATGAGATGAGGGGCGACTATTGCTGAGTACAGATGTGATCAAAGGAAGATAGTATCAGAAACTGCAGGATGGACTAATTACACTGAAATTGCTCATTTATGTGAATAGGTGTCAAGGGTCTCAGAGCTGCCATGGAGATGGTTCAAAGTTAGAGTATAATCAAGGCACTCTTTAGTTGGCTGGTAAAAGTTATTCTCCCACAGATATATGTATAGAGCTTTTCTTAAATTATTATCAGTGTTAATAGCAGAGTGTGACTTTTAAAGAAGAATCTTGAGCTGCCCAGGTGAAAGCCTCCATTCCATTCTTGTTCTGCATCTAGGTCAGTCAGTGGGAAGCGCATATGCTCCTACTGCAATAACATTCTGGGCAAAGGAGCCGCCATGATCATCGAGTCCCTGGGTCTTTGTTATCATTTGCATTGTTTTAAGGTGAGACTGAGACAAACAGCTTGCAGGCCTGCAAAGCTTTGCTTGGAGAGCGCATGGCTGCTTTGAGCCGCTGGGTGTAGATGTGCCACTAACAAGCTAGGTGCTGTATTCGTCCATCTGTGCTGCATTTGAGTCACAAATTGCTTGCTCCTCCCTAGTTCTCAAATCTTGAACCTTGTTTTAAAACTTAAATCTGGAAAAATTTTGCATTTTCTATTTCTAATCTGTTAGAATTCTATACATTTACAGTACATAAGTTGCTTTCTCTAAGATGCTGTCAGAGGCATACTTGAAATATAATTTACAAATAACCTACTAGTGTTGTTAAGGGCAGGGACACATGCAGTTATCACAGTGTCTGAAAGCCTAGCTTTGAGTAGGAAGAATATGTAAGGAAAACCATTACCATTGTAGCTATTTTTATAATTGCACAGCCTGTTTATACCTGATAGGTTTTCACACATAAGAAGGAACTAAGGCTGTAATTGTTTGGTTTTGTAATCTCTGTCTCTAAAGACATATCTGTTTGATTCTTGAACTTGCATTGGGCCAGAGAAAGATTCTGGTTGTTGATCCTGGAGGCCCGCAGACCACAGCTTGTTTAAGCCTGTCCATTGCTGGCTTGGGCTGTTCCTAGGCACAGCAGAATGAGTCAAGATAATTAGAGTTTGGGCACATGGAATCGAAATATCCAGCCTTGAAGTGAGGCGCTGTGTGGGAACACTTGCTAAGCTAGTGCAGCAGGGACACTGGGAGCGGCCCACCCCAGGGTGGAGTGCCAGGGCCCAGCCTTCATTCACTCTGGCCACTTCTTTCATGGGGGGCCTTACCTGCCATTCCTCTGGGGGGATAAAAACTAAATTTCTTAAAGTCAATCAGCAAATTATTTCTATTTTTGGGGAGTATATTTAGACTGGTCATCTTGGCTCTTAATATTGGCTTTATGAATTCTTTAACATCTTATCTGGCGGTCTTGATTTGAATCTACTAATCATCTTTCGGCCTTTTTTTTTCTTTGCTGAAATGTATCTAAGAGCTTAGAAGTAGCATTCTGCTCATTTCCCCCCCACCCCCAGGAGTGCCCCAAGCTTTCTTGAGCTGACTGATTGTAGATGTTCTTTTTTTTTTGTTCCCCAGTGTGTTGCCTGTGAGTGTGACCTCGGAGGCTCTTCCTCAGGAGCTGAAGTCAGGATCAGAAACCACCAACTGTACTGCAACGACTGCTATCTCAGATTCAAATGTAAGAGAGCAAATCAGAGAGAAAATTTCTTGCCTTTTAAGGAGGCCACGGGTTCCCATGCATTTCCCTGAACCTGCAGCGAGCTCCCCTCCAAGTTCACTGCCATAGGATTCCAGGTTTCAAGAATTGTAGTGTGTTCCCTTCAAAGAGTGTGTATAGTGAATGGGTCACTGCTCAGGGTTCCAGCTACACAGGAGTGGGTTGTGGGGCCAAGGAATGGAGAGGAACAGTGTCCAAAAGTCAGGATGGTGTCTTGTGTTATCTGCCCAGAGTCCGCAGAGACCTTTAATGACTCAAGAATACAAACAAACCAAAACACTTAAATGAATCTTCTATGTAGGATTTGTTTCTTGACTAAAGATTGGTCCCTCATCAACTTCTATTATTTAACAATGGGCTTTGATTATGTGATTTAGAATATGACCAACTTTAAAAAATATTGTTCCATGTAATACAAAATAAGTCAGTTTATGCTTTATGTTAATATATGTCAATATATAATTTTAAAAGGAAAGTATTAACTATGGTGTTTCAGTGTCATTTTTGGAAAAAATGAGTTTTTCAAAAAACTTCAAATGCTACTTTGCATCTAAGCATGTGTTTGTGTGTTATAAAAGGTAGGCTAGCATAACTAGGTTGTGTGTTGTGTATAGCTACAGCAAGACAAGTATTACTGCTGTTTTATATTTTAAACCTTGATGCTGGTAACATGTGTTTCTTCCTTATTGTGAAAGGGTGTTACAAGTGGTATCAGCAAAATCATTTGCTTTTGAACTCTGAGGTATTTATATGGCCCCTATGTGAAGAGTGCTTTGGAAATGGTTTAAGCCCAGTCAACTCTCTTTTATCTGTCGGTGGGTTCTGAGCCTTCCTGCTGCAGCTGTCCAGTCCTTTCCTGGATGCTGACACTGAGGTTGGAGAAAGTCAAGGCTGGGCATGTACTGGTGGGGGGTGTGTGTATGTGTGTGTGTTTTTCTCTCTCTCATCAAATTCCAAAGCCAAATAGAAATGATTTCTGGAATCACCATTGTAAAATTGCCCATGCCTTTTCTCTCCTCCAAAACAAATAATAGAGAGTTGAGTGTAATTTATTTCTATTGTGAGCAGTTCATTTTTACTCCATTTTTACAAATAAAGAATTCCAGAGACGAGACACTGAGACTTGCCTAGCTTTATCCTAAGAGTGAGTGACAGGTTACTCTTTCTACCTCATTGGGCCACTTTCTGAGTGATGACTGCTATGTATCCCAGATGGCAATATTCACGTTTCTGAATCTAAGCACTTTTCTTTCTTTTCTCCTTGCCCGATCAGCTGGACGGCCAACCGCCATGTGATGTAAGCCTCCATACGAAAGCACTGTTGCAGATAGAAGAAGAGGTGGTTGCTGCTCATGTAGATCTATAAATATGTGTTGTATGTCTTTTTTGCTTTTTTTTTAAAAAAAAGAATAACTTTTTTTGCCTCTTTAGATTACATAGAAGCATTGTAGTCTTGGTAGAACCAGTATTTTTGTTGTTTATTTATAAGGTAATTGTGTGTGGGGAAAAGTGCAGTATTTACCTGTTGAATTCAGCATCTTGAGAGCACAAGGGAAAAAATAAGAACCTACGAATATTTTTGAGGCAGATAATGATCTAGTTTGACTTTCTAGTTAGTGGTGTTTTGAAGAGGGTATTTTATTGTTTTTTAAAAAAAGGTTCTTAAACATTATTTGAAATAGTTAATATAAATACATAATTGCATTTGCTCTGTTTATTGTAATGTATTCTAAATTAATGCAGAACCATATGGAAAATTTCATTAAAATCTATCCCCAAATGTGCTTTCTGTATCCTTCCTTCTACCTATTATTCTGATTTTTAAAAATGCAGTTAATGTACCATTTATTTGCTTGATGAAGGGAGCTCTATTTTCTTTACCAGAAATGTTGCTAAGTAATTCCCAATAGAAAGCTGCTTATTTTCATTAATGAAAAATAACCATGGTTTGTATACTAGAAGTCTTCTTCAGAAACTGGTGAGCCTTTCTGTTCAATTGCATTTGTAAATAAACTTGCTGATGCATTTAACGAGTGGGTCGTCTTTTTCTTAGGTGTATGTGTCTGACCTCAGGCCTTTTAGCCATATTTCAGTATGTGGCCTTTTTTGATGTTATGTTTTATCCAGTAGCTTTACTAAGGTATAATTGATGTAATAAACTGCATATATTTAAAGTGTATACTTTGACAAATTTTGACATGGTGTATACCTTCGAAACTATGCCACAGTCTGGATGTGTTTACTGAAACATTTTAATAAGGAAGTTTATTTTTGATAAAGTTATGTTTTTGGATACAATATATTTGTATGGTGAGAGTGATGAATTGTTGGATCATTTGAATAAAATCTTTTACTAACCCCATGATAAAAGGAGAAGACAACAGTGAGCTTAGAATATCTATAAAGCAAAAAATGTAGTCTCTTGTTTAAAAAATCTGGAGCGGGAATGCAAGGATACAAAACTTTAGCATGCTTTGAGCAAAAATTTAAACTTACTGGAATCTTTTATAATAATGTAAGTGGAATGGAGGATTCTAGGAACTGAGAACTGTATTGGAATAGGTTCAAAATATGTAAGAAATGCTAATGTGGGAGATAAAAATTTTATTTAGTACTTATTCTGATTATTATTAAAGTAATAATGTGTTCCTTGAGGATAACTTGTCAAATGCCCCAAAGCATAAAGAATATAATTCTGAATCCCAAATTCCAAAGACAAGAACTCTGTGTTTGAATTCATTCTGCATATAATTATTTATAAGTATAGATTGTGAATTTTTCCATGTTCTTAAAATTATTTTTATCTTTTTTCATGGTTGCATAGTGCTCCATTGTTTGGCCTTGGTAATATTTAGTTGATAATTCCATTACTGTGTATTTTTCACTTGTTTCTAAGATCAAACATTTTAATATGTGCATGTTATATATAAATATGTAAATTCTGTGATACTCTATGATCATCTCTTTCTTTATATTATTTTCATAGACATGAAATAGTTGCTCAGAGATTATGCATTTTAAGACACTCATAGTATATATTGCCAAAGTGGTTTCCAGAAAGGCACTGCTGGCTTCGACTCCTATAAGCAGCACGTGGGCTTGTTCATCTCACTGCATGTTTATGAAGATACAGTTCTTTTGCCTTGTTCTCTGCCTGATGTGTATGCAGAGGCAGCCCTCAATATGCAGTGGTTGAATAAATGAATGAAGAAACCACTATCAATTTCTGCCTTGTTAATTCTGTTTTCCACTGTCCCCAGAGGATGCCTTAATTCTGCCATCATTTTCGTTTCCTTATCCAAAATCCTTTCTGACCATTGCTCCTTTTCATCTAAGCCTTTTGTCTTTTCATCTGCTCTTGTTTTCTTATGATTTTTTCCCCCATTTCTCACATTATCTTACTTAGTGATAACATTTCTGTTAGTACAAATTATAAGTACAGTTTTCAGAGCTATTTTCTTCTAGGATACCGGCTCTACATTTGTATAAGCCCTTGGGTATTTGTTACTTCACCTAGGAACAAGGGAAGAGTCCAGCCCTTCAACAAATTTTTTAATTCATACTTTATGCTCCAGGCACTGCTTTTGGCACCATGGGTAGAACAGTGAAGAAATACAGTCTTGGCTCTGATTGGTCTTATTTTTCTGGTTGAGGGAGGTGATAAAACAATACATGAAAAAATAACATGCAGGTGGCGATGAGAGCAACAAAGAACAAATACTGGGTAAGAAAGATGCAAGTGCTGGAAATGGAAGTTTGACAGTGCTTTTTATACAGGTGGTCAGGGACAGCCTTTTGATATTTGGGCCAAAGCTTGAAGAAATGAAGGAACAGAGACTTGATGGAAAAGCATTCCAGACACAGGGAGCAGCAAGTGACAAGGCTTGGCGCAGGAGAGTATTTGGTGTGTCCAGGAAGCAAGTGTGGTTGAGTGGAGTGAGTGTGGAGGGTTTAGGAGCCATGGGGAAGTGGAGGGCACAGAGCAGCAGTGGTTGCAGGACATGGGGTCTTATATTCTGAATGGAAGAGAAAGACTCCGGAGAGTTCTGAGAAGAGGAATGAAACAAACTGACTGTTGTGTTAAAAGGACTGCTACAGACTACTGTATGAACAAGACTGCAGAAGGACAGGCAAAAGCAGGGAGACCAGTTTGGAGCCTATTGAAATTATCCAGGCAAAAGATGACATATGCTTCAACAGGATGGGTGTAGGGGAGGTAGTGAGGAGAGGGAAGATTGTAGTGTGTGTGTGTTCTGAAGGTGAAGCTGGTAGAATTTGATCAAGATTGGATGACGCAAAAGAGGGCGGAGTAAAAAATGAATCTGAAATGTTGGCCTGAGGAGCTGGAAAAATGGAATTGCCTTTTTCTGAAATGGAGACGGTTACGAGTAAAGCACATTTGGGTAGGGTGATCAGAGATTTGGTTTTTAAGCATAGTGAGGTTGAGCAATCTATCAGATACCTCAATAGCAGTGTTGAGTAGGCAGCTGGCTATGCAAGGGAGAGGCCCAGGCTGGAAATACAGAGTCATCAGTATGTAGAAGGAATTTCAGCTGAGAATTGCGGGGACATCACCTGGAATCTGACTGTAACTAGAGTGGAGGTGATGTACAAGGACTGAATCCTGAGGCCCTCCAGCACTAGAGATCAGAGATACAGAAAAGTGAGCGAGAGAGAACCAAGACCCTGGTGCCCTGGAAACCAAGTCAAGACCATATTTTAAGGAGAGAGGCCTGTTGTGTCAAATGCTTCCCAGAGATCCAATAAAATTAGGCCTGAGGGTTGACATTGGAAATCAGTTTGCAACGTGCCTTTTCCCTGATCATACACATGTTTGTGTTTGATATTGTCCTTCTCAAAGGTTCAGTTGGGGGCTCCTCATGTATAGGGTAGCTGGCCCAGTTTTCAGTGCCTGGCTGTATTTAAATGGACCTGATGCTCTTGCCCAGTTTTCCCAGGGAGATAAGTTGAAGGGTAACATAGAAAGCCATTTCTAGGCTACTTACTGTCTGCACCCTTCCCTATAATGTACTAGCAACTGGAGCTGCACTTCCCAGTGTGTTGTATGTCACCTCAACACACATGAGATCCTTCTCCTCCTCCCTCTGCCCTGTAATTTCTGAGGATCACAGAATATTGTGGAAATAAAGGTTTTGGGGTTGAGGCTACCCTATCTGCCTCAGAGGTGCAGAGCTGGTCAGCTGGGGGGCATTTCTGCTCTGCAATGTTCTGATACAAACCCTAGGTCTTTTAACCAAGATGCAGGCCAGTCTGTCTGATTTCAAGCTACAAACAAGCTTTGGTCCTTAAGTTTTGACACATAGTTCAGCTATGTGGTAGTTGATGGAAATCCCCTCTAGATTCCAGCATTAGTTTGCCAGTTTTAAATCTTAACATTAAGAATTTTTTATTTTCAATGTGTTTATGCTTTGTGGGAAGCAGGGAGAAGCTGAATAAAAAAATTGCTGTCTACATGCCATATTAAGGCATAAGCTAGTTTTGTGATTGATTTAGAGATTGCATTTTGCTCTGTCACCCAGGTGATCATAGTTTACCACAGCCTCAATCTCCTGGGCTCAAGCAGTTCTCCTGCCTCGTCCTCCCAAAGCACTGGGATTATAGACATAAGTTACTGGATCTGGCCAAGTTCTTTGTTTTGGGATGTCATAACTGTTCCTGAAATCTACATCTTCATATCCTTGCCTTACAGGCAGTAGATACAGGTGTATTCTTTAGGCATTCATTTCTTCAGTTGATATATTTGAGAATTACACGTGGTTAGGTAATTAAACCCATCTTTCCTCAGTGCTGAGCCAATAGGGAACCTTTTAGGAGGTAAGGATGGAAAATATCAGCTTCTTTTCTGCTGGACAACTTCCCACTTGGATTGAGCTTAATGACGAAGCATCGAAGAGAAGGGCCCTTTGTCTTCTGTACTTATGGGCTAACCACATGGAGGACAGAGGACTGCATGTGGCCTGTGGACAGGCAGCTTCAAAGACAAGGTCAAAGAATAGTTCAGGGTTCAGGCCACATGAGTGGCCACTTCTAACATTCAGTCTTTCCCAAAGGGGGTGGTGTTTGTCACTCCTCCCTCTATGGGGAGAAACAAGGGAGCAGAGTAGAGAGAAGAATGATTTCTTCTTCCAATAGTCCTGAGAAAACAAATGTTTCTGGGTTGGCATGAATGTAGAGGAGGAGAGAAGGTGATTTTACTGTCTGTGTGAAGGCATGGAACATCTTCAGTGCCCAATTTAGGAAGGAAAGCGGAAAAATTGAATTTGTTCTGCTTAAGAATTTAATCTTAGCATTTTACTTGAAATGTTTATGTAAGAGTGAAAACTAGCCAAAAAAGGGTGAAACTCTCTGAATTTCAATGCATAGGCACAGAATGGTAACTACTGCCTGATTGCTAGAGTTGAGAGACATGCCTAATGGGGTGCCTCAGGGTTGAGATTTTACTTGTTTTATTTTGCACTTTAACATCCATCCTCACAATCTGGAGGAGGGATTAGAAGGCATGCTAATGCAAGTCCCAGTTCATGTCAGTAAAAATGACATTTAAAAAAAAAAACAAAACTAATTTGTGCTTAAAGTCCATGCATAGGAGGCAGGAAAACAACTTCCAGATTCTTTTTCATGAAACGTGTAGATACTAGGAGTTTATGTGATGAATATAAAACAATCGTTATTCTCACAGGGAGAAGAGAGGCACATACCCAAAGTATCCTAGTACATGGTAGAAGAGACAAGGACTATGAGAGAGTGTGTGAGGAGGGAGGAAGTGACCTGACAGCAGAATTGCTGTTTAAACCACACATTTAAGGGCAGATACAATCTTAACAAATCATGTGGAAGGAACAAAATATTATTTCTCAGTTAAGATAAACATCCCAGTGATTCTTCCCTTGTTTTGTATTCCTGCTGAACCTTACAGAGTTGGCCTGTTTTGCAGAGGAATGAGCAGGTCACTCGAGATACTCTGGGTTGGGATCTCCAATGGCTGGGCTGTGCACTGGTACTGGTCCGTGGCCTATTAAGAACCTGGCAGCATGGCAGGAGGTGAGCGGTGGGCAAGCCAGCGTTGCTGCCTGAGCTCCGCCACCTGTAAGATCAGTGGCGGCATTAAATTCTCATAGGTGTGTGAACCCTATTGTGAACTGCACATCCAAAGGTTCTAGCTTGCAGTCTCATAAGAATCTAATGCCTGATGATCTGAGGTGGAACAGTTTCATCCCGAAACCATCCTGACCACCCCGTCTGTGGAAAAATTGTCTTCCATGAACCTGTCTGTGGTCCCAAAAAGGCTGGGACTGCTGTTCTGGGTGATAATGTATCCGCGAACTGGACCAAAAGACAAACGAATGAATAACTTTGGGACCTGAAGCCTGGGTGGTTTAGATATTCGTTGAAGGTGGAGATATTTCCTGTTTTGGATAGAGCATACAGCAGGGTGGACATACATTTAAAAATGTCTAAAGGTAGCTGGAAATAGGGTATTGGGTTTAAACAGTAAAAGAAATATCCATTGTATTCATTTGCATGCTCAAATTGACTTAAATATAAAGAAGTTTATTTCTTTACCTAAAAGGAAGTTGAGAAGGCTGATTCATCCAGCAGTTCAATAACGTAATTAAAGAAGCATATTCATGCTGGGCACGGTGGCTCATGCCTGTAATCCCAGCACTTTGGGAGGCCGAGGTGGGCGGATCATGAGGTCAGGAGTTCAAGACCAGCCTGGCTAACAGTGAAACCTGTCTCTACTAAAAATACAAAAAATTAGCCAGGCGTGGTGGCTTGTGCCTGTAGTCACAGCTACTTGGAAGTCTGAGGCAAGAGAATCGCTTGAACTCGGGAGGCAGAGGTTGCAGTCAGCCGAGACCGCGCCACTGCACTCCAGCCTGGGCGACAGAGTGAGACTCCATCTCAAAAAAAAAAAAAAAAAAAAAAAAAAGCCTATTTATCTCAGGCTCTTTGGCCATTCTCAATGTTGTCCTGATCCTGAGGCTAGTTACGACCATGGCTGCAAGACAAGTGAAGGGCTTCATGCTTCCTTGTTATTATCTCCTGGAAGAGAGACTGACTGCTTAGTGCTCTCAAGTGTGTAGGAAAACTTCCCAGAAGCTTTCAGCAAAATATTTTTGTTCTCATCGGCCAGACTTGAGTTATTCGTCCATTTCTGAACAAAGGGTAATCCCATTCTCATGGCAAACATGACCTCCTTCAGTGAAGACCAGCTTACAGTCATGTTATTGCTAACCGAAGGGAGTGTGATGAAATGAATGTTGGAGTCAACCACAATGTTTACCGTTGTTAGACTTTATGAATTACCTCAAAAATATGTACTGAGTATTTGCTTTATGCAAGACCTTGTCTTATTTTCAGTGAGTTTCTTAAACAATATAGGGAGAACAGGAGAGCGGACAAGGATCTTTCCTTCAATTGTACCCAACAAGGATCATGTGTGCAAGTAGTTACTTGATTGAAAATTTGATGTGTTCTAGAAAATATAAAAGATCAGCTTATGGTAACAGGTGAAGCATTGGGAACCTGGTAATTAGTGAATACTTGTAAAGCATGAGGAATATACTTGTTCAAATTTCTTATATAAAAGTTCATGAAAGCAAATCGTGAAACTAATAGTCAACCTTTTGTGATTAAATTTTAAACACTTTATGGATTTTACATGCCAATATCCCATGGTATTGTTTAACACAGTTTTAGGTGACCTATTAAGTGACTTGAATGTTGTTTGACAACTCTGTGTGAAGCTCTTTGCTACTTTCACTGTAAAGATCCTCAAACCTCTTTATAGAGAAGTATTTTTCACAACACTATTTCTGTGGAAGATTATCGTGACTCTTTGCCATTAAAATTCGATTGGAGAAGAAATAGGACTTACTCAAAATTCCCTAGGAGAGGCCCATTAGAATCAGGAAAACAATGCAGCAGTTTTTTTCTATGTTATATCCAGGATTTTAACATAAGATATTTTTGTGTTCTATTTGTTGTACCTTTTTCCCCTCCTCCCCAAAGTGCTTTCTTAGATCTATAATGAATTCTGTGTCATAGACCTGCATGCAAAGGATTGATCTGCCTGTTGCCATTTCAGGCTAAAATAGAGAGTTCCCCCTGCATTTGTCAGAAGCTCATTTACCCTTTCAACCTGTTTCACAGCAGCAGGAGAACATCCATCAAAGACGGCCAGAAGAACTCCTGGGTCAAGCCCTCCAGTCATGTATGCGCTTGAATCCAGTTCTACATCCAAATCAGACTAGCTATCTAGGATCTTTTAGCCATAGAACGCTACTTTTGAAGCCGTCTCAAGTTTAAATATATGATCAGGTTTAGAATGTCCACGATGCCTTCATTCTGCATATGTGAAAGTTTTCCTCTCAGGAATACAGCTCACAGCTACAGAGGAGACAGGAAAGACCCTCTGCCCTCCTGAGTTCTCCTTAATAGTGTTTATTGAGTGCTTTCTGTGTTTATTGAGTGCTTAGGGATACAATATTTTCATACTACCTTGCCAAAATTATGAAAATCAACATTAACAAAGTTATGAAAATTAACATTGATTTTTCTATACTTGGACTTAGTATCTGTTTGGAGTTCCATTCCATCTGAAGGCAGGACACAAAAATCTAGTTTTATCTATTTCTTTTCTACAGCTGCTTCTGATTTAATCCGGTCAAATCAGAATTTTGCCTCCCTCTCTCCTTCCCCCATCGGTGGCATCTAAGCACTGGTATGTTTGCATGGACAGTGTCATGGGCCTGTGGAAGCCCTTTGCTCTCCCTGTTTTTTTTTTTTTTTTTTTGAGATGGAGTCTCACTCTCTCGCCCAGGCTGGAGTGCAGTGGCATGATCTCGGCTTACTGCAAGCTCCGCCTCCTGGGTTCACGCCATTCTCCTGCCTCAGCCTCCCGAGCAGCTGAGACTACAGGCGCCGGCCACCATGCCCGGCTAATTTTCTGTATTTTTAGTAGAGACGGGGTTTCACCGTAGCCAGGATGGTCTTGATCTCCTGACCTCGTGATCCGCCTACCTCGGCATCCCAAAGTTCTGGGATTAGAGGAATGAGCCACCGCGCCCGGCCTCTCCCTGTTTTTTATAGCGATGTTCACTGCAGTGCCTGTTGATCTGTGTGGTCTTTCTAATGAGTTAGCCTTTCATGACACCCTCCTCTGGGGTGTCCACTTTCCCATCTGGCCCATGGCTAGAAGGTGTCTGCAGCACAGCCTACCCAGTATGCAGTGTCAACACCCATCCCTTCACCCCCCGTGTGTGACTTCTTTGGGTCAACAGGCATGCTCTGTCAGCAAAAGGTCATCTCTACCCTTAGATCCTTTACCACACCTACAAAGTCCCTTTGCCATATGATGTAACATATTCATAGGTAGCAGAGACTAGGAGGAGAACATCTTTGGAGAGACATTATTCAGCATACCACAGTCACTTTGATATTTACCAACTAAAAACATGAGTATCTTCCCCTCGCGGATCTGCTTCTTTAAGGGGAGTACATTAATATGATTTTGACTACAAATATTAATGTTTTTCTTAAATTGTCTTTATTATAAATGTGTGCTCATCACAAAGATGTGACGAAATGGCACTTGTAATCTCTGTCAGACCTAATTTTCAGTGGAGTAGTGATTATTTCAATGACCTCTACAATGCTCATTTGGTCAGCACATAACTCATTTCTTATGGTTAGTGCTGTCCAAAATGAAGTGCAAGATGATTTATTTGTATTTGTAAGAAGAAAGTATTAGAACACTTATGTGTATTTATATGTTTGAAAGTAAAAATTTTAAGTTTTTCTAATCACTCATGGAAGGATTGACACACATATGCCTGTCTTTTTGGCTGAGTTTGTCACACGTGGTATAGAGAACATGACATATTCTGAAGTCGAATGGGAGTTCCACACCGTGCAGAGGTTAATACGGGTGCCCTCTCTTGATCATTTGCTTTCAGCATGTTGTGATGTATTGTGGCATCACCTTGCAAGCAAGATTTTTAAAAACTAAGCAAGAAAAACATGAAGAAAAACTCCTACAGTTTTTTTCAGCGATGTTTAACGTCAAGATTTCAACCTATCCTGATAGGATATAATGTACTATCTGTAATCATAGATGTTTAGAAGCTTCCGATATTTTATTACGTAGTAGCAGATGACAGAGGTGAATACTCTTGCTCTTCCTTCCTTTAACCTTCCTGAGGTTAAAATCACGGAAATAACATATTGAAAATAACATGGAGATGCCTTTGTCAGCAAATTTTGCTGGAAGATGCACAGAAGACATTGAAGTCCAGAAGAAATGAGTATGAGAACAAATAATTCAGTGTGAGAGGTTTGCTACATAGTGTGTTTGTCCCCATCATATCTCAGCTTATGGTATTTGCAAAATTCTGTTGACAAAATACAAGAACTGCTACTACTAATGAGCCATCCAAAGAAAAACATTCCAGAAGACAAACACTAAACAATAAATTACTTTATTAAAAACAATTTATGATAAAATTGTAAGCTTACTGACTGTAACATTGATGGAATAGCTATTTTGGAATACAAGGATTCCAGAACAAAGTTTTAGAGAGCCTCAGATTTTATCATTATTAATATACTATTTTTACTGCATAATTTGTTACAAGTTTTAGCCTCAAAGAAATGGAAGCCAGAAATTTATAAATGTGGTTAATTTTATAAAAACAAGGTCTTTACTAGAGTAGAATAACACTTTGTAATGAGATGAAGAATGACCTTGAACATTTTGTTTTGTTACAAAATTGTTGGGTGGCTTTGTTTTCATTACTTTGGCCATAGTTAAAGATGTTCTACATTTTTTATTTTTCAAAAAAAAGCTTTCCAAATGTGTTGAACTTTTCCTTGATAAATGGTTGTCATAGTTTCCCTAACAGATATTTAAAATACAAATACAAACTGAATTATATTTTCTTGTCAGATAAATGTCACCATTTAAAAATAAATAAGAAAACATTTTGAAAGAAATGTGATAGACTGTTTTCAAAATTAATATTTTAAAAGTTCCCATTGTGGCCGGTCACCATGGCTCACGCCTGTGATTCCAACACTGTGGGAGGCGGAGGCGGGCAGATCACGAGGTCAGGAGAGCAAGACCATCCTGGCCAACATGGTGGAACCTCGTCTCTACTAAAAATACAAAAATTAGCCAGGCATGGTGGCGGGCGCCTGTAGTCCCAGCTACTCGAGAGGCTGAGGCAGGAGAATCGTTTGAACCCGGGAGCCGGAGGTTGCAGTGAGCCAAGATCGCGCCACTGCACTCCAGCCTGGTGACAGAGCGAGATTCCATCTCAAAAACAAACAAACAAGTTCCCATTGTTATACATTTTTTTGCAAACAAACTAAATATTTCATGCATAAAAATTCTCATCAGAAATTAATATGTTTAAAACTATTTTCAGATGATATATTTTATCAGGGTTTGAACAAATTTATGCGAATATACACAAAAGGAAGAGTCAGTGACTGCAGTGGAATGGAAATTTACTAGCTCATTTTTAACAAAGCCTCCACTTAACTGGTACATACCATTGAGTAATGAGCTCCATGATTTAGTAAACCAGCCATAGACCAACTGCTTTCACCTAATTTTTGTATCTGCATCCGTTTGTGATAACCATGCAGACCAAGGATGCCCACACACTAGCTCACAACCAAGTCTCCAATCTTGGTCAACCAAGATACTTTGTAAAAATAGAGACTATTTAATCATACTACATTTGAAAAAAAAAATTTTGAAGGAGGCATGTTTGTTTTTTTATAAAGCTTATAAATAGTGAAAATACTGCTTTTATCTCTTTTTTACCTTTTTAGCATAGTTTAATGATATACACAAAATGTAGTGCTTTATGTATGAGATTTATGTATGAGATTTATACATAAATATGCATATTGGGGGCTATATGCATCTGTATTTGTTTTAAACCGAAGTGCCTTACTTAAAAAGATGAGATTAAAAGGTTTAAAGCCCTGGCAATGGAAAGCCAAGAGAATGAAGTAAACTGATGAAGATGCCTTTTAATTCCCTGTCGGGTCTTCCCATCTTACAACCTTGTAATGTATCTTTATGACTCCATGTGAAGGAGATTGCATTAAAACACATTTGCATCTTTGGAGAATTGGAGTGTTAGCCGTAGGATGCACTCTTTTACTTGTTTTGTTATACCTGTAGGAGAATCTTAAACCCTTATACACGAATCTCCATTTGAAAAGCTGTTGGTGATCAGATAAAACACTGTCTCCTCTTAATTTTTTTTGCCACAAAAAGCTGTTTGTCTCGCAACTCCTTGAGGGTTCAATTCAAGTTTTCTAATTATTGTGCATTGTCTTTCTGGCAATTAGCACTTAGAAAGAGGGACAGGATGGTATAAAATGTGAAGACAGCAGTTTAAGACTGACACTATCTGAGGCTTAGTGGCTTCCTGCGCATGTAACCTTGATGACCTTACTTTTCCTCCCCGTGCCTCAATTTTTTCACGTGTAAAACAAAAGTGAAACAGGAATCACTAGTAGCACCTCTCATGAGCTTCTTGTGACCAAGAACTGAGTAAATTCACGTGAAGCTCTTGGAAAGGTGGCTGGTGAATAGAAACAATAGATGTTAACTCTTAGCTTTTTGCAAGAAGTAATGCCTGTGCTGTTTTCTACAAAACTTTATTTCAGCTTTCCAGATGAAACAGGATTGACACCATTTTAGAAAAATCAACAATAAATGGCACTTAATGAGACTATGTTCCTAAATCTGCATTTCTTTGTGAGAATTTTGATTTTGCAGGTTCTTCGTATTCATAACACTAGGTGGCAGTGTTAGCACAGACGGGGAAAAAAAACACTGCGGGTTTCCCCATTCCCCCCATTTCCCTTTCCAGTTTTATAACTTTTTAGTCAGCTTTTGAACCACCGATCAGTCCATATTAGTAGTCTGGGGACACCCCAGTGCCGAGTCCTACAGGACACTGGCTGACGGATTAACAGGACATTTCAATGATCGTTGCCTCGTAGGAGCAAATGTGGTCCGGTGCGATGCGAGGAAACTACGTCCTAATTTCTCTATCAGGGGCTTGCACAAGGCTGTTTTTCTGCACAAAAGCTGACTTAGGAACGCTTTAGCTCACTATGCAGAGGCCTGAAGAGTCCTTGATTTTCCTGGAGAGAGCTGGCAGGTTTGATAGAGGCTGTCACGTTTTAGGAATCTCAATGGTCCCCCAGACAATAAGCCAACGGCCTTTGGCGGGTGGGATTTTGCTGAAGTCATTTCTTTGTGACTCTGTGGGCGAGGCAAGTATTTGCCAGGTCACTGGGGTCTTGACTTTAAAAACGGGCAGTTTTTAAACTAAAAGTTTTATTCTTTTTAGATGATTATCCCGGGGCTCCTCTGAGAAAAGTAGGAGTAGATTGCTGGAATTACCATGGGTTAAAATGAAAGAGGATGACCTGGCTGGACAAAGGCGTATGGACTCAGGAAGACGAGAACTCCTGCTCCTTCTCTGAATCGGATTTTCCTGGCTGTAGAGACCAGATCAACCCTTCCATTCCATCGATTTGGGTATCTCTCTCTCTCTCTCTTTCTCTCTCTCTCTCTCTCTTTCTCTCTCTCTATATATTTATATCTATCGATCTATCAATCTATCATGCCTCCATAAATCTGCATGCACACATGTGCATATACACACACACACATTTTTGTTTATTCAACCCATAAATATTTGAGTGCCTGCTGTGTGCCAGTTACTGATCTCAACAACACAGATGAAGCAGTGAACAAAACAGATGACGTTGCTCCTCTTACGGAGCTTATATTATATTATAGTGGGGGGACACATCAGGTGGTAAATACTGTGAAGTAAAGTGATATAAAAGGATAGAGAGTGGTGAGGAATACAGGGGATTCTATTTATTTTGTTTTTATTTAGTATGGATACATAATAGTTGTACATGTTTATGGGGTACATGGGATGTTTTGATACGAGCATACAATGTGTAATGTCAAATCAGGGCAATTGGGGTATCTACCACCTCAAGCATTTATTATTTCTTTGTGTTAGGAAAATTCCAATTCTACTCTCTTAGTTATTTTTAAATGGGCAACAAGCTATTGTTAACTATACTCACCCTGTTGTGTATTTCTATCTAACTGTATTTTGTACCCATTAACCATCCCCATTTTATCTTCCCCACAGCCCTTCCCAGCCTCTGGTAACCATTATTCTCCTCTCTATCTCCATGAGTTCAATTGTTTTAATTTTTAGCTCCCAAATATGAGTGAGGATATGCAAAATTTGTCTTTCTCTGCCTGGCTTATTTCACTTAACATATTGTCATCTAGTTCCATCCAAACTGTTGCAAATGACAATATTTCATTCTCTTGTATGGGTGAAAAATATTCCACTGTGTATATGTGCCACGTTTTCTTTATCCAGTCATCCATTAATAAACACTAGGCTGATTCCCCGTCTTGGCTATTGCGAATAGTGCTGCAGTAAGCATGGGAGTGCACATCTCTCTTCGATACACTGATTTCCTTTCTTTTGGGTATATACCCAGCAGTGAGATTGCTGGATCATATGGTAGTTCTGTTTTTAGTTTTTTGAGTAACCTGCATACCGTTCTCCATAGTGGCTATGCTAATTTACATTCCCTCCAACAGCATACGAGGGTCCTAGGGGATTCTATTTTAGATAGGAATTTGCTTGGGAAATTGAGTATGCTGATGTCTTAGCAGAAACCTGAATGAAGCGAAGGAGTGAGATGTGCACCTTTCTAGGGGAAGAATATTCCAGCCAGAAGGAAGAGCACATAGGTGCTCTGAGGACATTGGTGGGTAATGCTCGGGGGCAGGCAGATTGATGGAATCTGAAACTTATGCAAATTTGTCACCCTCTTTAAGAGAGAATACAAACTTAGGGGCAAATGTGAGTATTTAGAATAAGAAAATCCCATGAAATTACAAAATTAAAAAAGTTGATAAACTGTGTATGCATAGTCCAGTAAGGCATTTTTATTCATTAACTGCCTGACGCATCTGTGTCACTTTTTCCTACAGTTTTGTCTACACACTCTGCTTCTTCATAGGTTTCTGATGGATAATAGGTAATTTAGTCTTTCTCTTAGCATAGTTGAGCCAGATATTGACAGTTTACGCATTTCTTTCAGCTTTACCCTTCTATTTGGTTATGCCATGTACATTTCTAAGATTCTCAACATTGGGAAAACCATCTTAGAAATTTTCTTTGCATATGAGCTGTAATATTTGGAAGAATTTTTATAGATTAGCTTCTGATTTTGTTCATTTCAAACCTTGTTTTTTCCTGCTGCTGAACACTCCTAAAGCTGGCTGCCATGTTCATAACTCATTTGACTTATGCCTTACATCTTCATATCACAATATTGTGGGGTGGGTCATCACAGAGGAAGACAGGCATTTCCTTGAAACCATTTCTGTTCCTAGACAGCTAGTAATACATGGAAGCGACTGCAAGCCACGTGACTGTATCTCACTCACACAAATGACATATCTTTAAATTAACTTCCCCTTCTCCAGGTCTTAAAAATGCCCACGGCCACCCCATTGCCTTCTGACAAGAAGAAAGATGTAACAGAGGGAAAGTAGAAATGAAAAGAGACAGGGATGTCAACTGATTGTGGTTAAGATATTTTTCTTTTGCAAACTTTACAAACTCTTATGACTTTGTCAATGCATTACTGTCCAAGTAAGGGGCCTACACCTTAAGCTTCATGAGCTCCATGGCAATCCACCTCTGGGGGAACAGGAAGATACTCCTGCCCTACTGTTAGGTCATTGAGGGAAAAGGAGGTCTGGAGCATAGGATTTGTTTGGGAGATTAACTTAATATAACCCAGTGTTCAAAACATACTGAACAGACCATAGCTAACAGATTTCCTGTCTTTTACATTTGTGCTTCAACAACACGTATGTCATGAAACCACGGGATAAAAAGACCGCAGTTTCGGGAATGATGATTTCGCTGGAAGTGCGGTGGTGGATAAAGGGGAAGCAGGGTTACGTAATTTCACTGGTAAGTTACTAGTCATCGCAACATGGAAATATTTTTAAAAATATAATTCCCATTTGTAAAGTATGCAGATTGCATGTGACTTTTTTTTTTTTTTTTTTTTTTTTTTTTTCGAGATAGGGTCACGCTCTGTCACCTAGGCTGGAGTGCAGTGGAACATTCTCAGCTCACTGCATCCTCGGCCTCCCAGGGGGCTCAAGCTATCCTCCCGCCTCAGTCTCCCAAGTAGTTGGGACCACAGGTATGCATGACCAAACCTGGCAATTTTTTTTTCTTTTATTACAGACTGGGGTCTTACTATGTTGCTCAGGCTGTTCTTGAACCCCTGACTCAAGCAATCCTCCCACCTTGGCCTCCCAAAGTGCTGGGATTACAGGTGTGAGCCACTGTGCACAGCCGCATATGACTTATTTTTAAGCTAAAACAAACTTCCAGGATAATTTGTCCCTTGCAATGGCCTGCTTTAGGGACATCACCTCTTCTTCAGTTAGGGTTTCTTCAGTAGAAAATGTAGCGAAGTTGCATCCTATAATAGCCTATGACCCCTTGTCTAGCAAGGTGACACTCCTGACAACACTGGAGCTGACTATTTTTCTTCCTAGTTACAGTTATTTGCATGATTTATTTGTGGGATGAGAAACAATCTAGGAGAGAGGCTAAAAGTGCAGGTTCTAGAACCAAATTTCCTGTACCGGACTCCACTGCTCACTCTCTGGGCAAGTAATCTCTCTGTGTCTCAGTTTTCTTCACCTGTAAAATGGGGATCATAATAGTACTACACAGATCATGCAGTTGTTATGAGCATTCACTAAAGTAATTTTGGATGTAGGACAGTGACTTGGCACAAAGTCAGTATACAGTCTTTGGCAGCTACTTTATTTTTTAAGTTTTTAATTGACAAGTAGTAATTATATTTATGGGATACCATGTGATGTTTTGATGTATGTTTACCTCGTAGAATGATGAGATCAAGCTAATTAAAAAATCCATGGCCTCACATATTTACTTTTTTGTGTCTGTGGGGAAAACATTTAAAATCTAGTGTTTTGGCAGTTTTGAAATATACAATGCATTATTATTTACTATAGTCGCCATGCTGTGCAATAGATCACTAAAGCTTATTACTCCTGTCCAACTGAAACTTTGTACTCTTTGATCAACATGTTTCCTTTCCCCATTATCCCTCCCCCAGCCTCCCTGGACCCACCAGTCAGTTACTTTAATGATCTCGCTGTGTTTCTTCTCAGCCTTTCCCCTCTGCGATCCTCAGTCTGTGCTGGTAAGAGAATTAGCTGGAATTCGTGGTGCCACTTCTGGAACATGTAAAAAGGCCCAACTAATCAGGATGGGATGTGTCACCAGACCTCATAAGGGCCATGGTCATAGTTTTAAAAATTGTCTTAAAGCAGAATTTTTTTCCCCAAATAAAAACATAAAAAGTGTGGATGCTTAGGTTGAACCAGAGAATCAGGGGCCCCCAGAAGCCCACCCTAGTATCACCAACCCTCTCTTGCAGAGTCCTGAGAACCCTCCGACACCTTATTGTTTCATAGAACACAGTTCAAAAAACCCTAAAACTTGGCAAATTCTCTTTCCTAAATTTCAAAAGAAAAGGCAGGTATTCGTCTAAATATAGCCAGGCCATCCTGTCATGTTAATGAGGCTAGGTTTACTAAGGGCAATTTACCCACCTATAAATCTGTAGAGCTGTGTTTGAGGTTGTCTTTAATCTTGTCTACCAACCAAACCTCTGACCAAAATTTCAAATTGATTGACTTGAGTTTCATCTCTAGTTTCTGCCTTGCTTATTTGTATGGTTTTGGGGAAGACAATAAAGGAAGGAAATTGAGGGTTGGTTGCTTTCATTTTAGATTCAACTAACATTTATTGAACATCTAGACGCCATGCCATGAACTCTCATTATTAACCTGTAAAGTGAGTATTTATATTTTAAGATGACTAAAGTGAGGCTCACAGACATTAAAAGCCTTGTTCATAACAGAACTGAAATGAGTTACAGACATTTTTTTACCCAAAGTTGTAGATTTTTATATCCACTGTATATTGCAATGTGAAAATGGTAACATCTTGCATTTATATAAAGCTCTGTTATGTATAAAACAACCTTTCCTTTTGAAAATCTTGCCATTTGGAACTCAGATATAGTTCTTTTTTTTCCTTTTTTTTTTTTAAAAAGCTAATTATTGGTTCTCAAACTAAAGATGACAAAATCTAGTCTGTGAAAATCAGTCAAAAACCAAAGACCACTTAAGAGACGTACCCGGGATTCAAACCAGTTCATCTGGCTGCAAACCATTCCCAGCCCACCACACCCCAGGGTGAGAACCTTTACCTCTTGTATCCAACCTCAGCCACTTTCCTGGTAAAGTGTGTGCTTGGTGACCCCTAAATCAGGATTTTAAAAATATGCATCAACTTGGCTTCTTTTGCTCCATGGGAGCCCAGCCCTCTCTGATCATAAGCACCGCAAGCTTCCCTTTATTTTTCAACAACCATTTCATTTATGCCTGGCTCCAGGTGGCAGGAGGGCTGGCTGTTTAAACTCTTTCATTACAAAAGGAAAAAGAGCCTTATTGCATAAGAGAGGTGATGGGAGGGAGATCAGTACTTTGTATCCATTAAACACCCAGCCTAAACTTACCTCGGATCTCTGAAGCCCTGCTGTGGTTAGAAAATAACATGAAGAGGAGTGCTAAGACCTGGATTCCAGTACCGCCTTTTAAAACACCGTTATCTTGGGGAAGTCACTTTACCTCTTCAGCCCTTGGGTTTCTGGTCAATAAAATGCGATGTTCGGACGCATGCCTGAAGTGGGCTTGTCTCACCACTAGGGGGAAGGCAAATACAACTCTTGGGTGCTTCTGTAGCTCACACGAGGGTAAATAACGAAAAGTTTTAATATAAACTTAAAAATTAAAAAACAAAAATAAGTAAAATAAAACTTGGGGTTTCTGATAGGGCCTTTGAGTACTCTCAACTCTAGCCCTTCTTGTTGTTTAGGTTCAATTACATGCATTGCATGCCACAAGAATGTCTAGCATTTTTTGAGTGTTTACTGTGTGGAAGACACTGTATGGAACATGTTACCTTTAATCCCCAGGAAAACTGTGCAAGGCGGGCATTATCCACGTTTTACCCAGAAGGATCCTGAAGCTCACAGAGGTTATGTAGCCTGCCTAAGGTTACCCAGCTAGCAACTGGCAAAGCTAGGAGGTAATGCAGATCTGATTGCTTCTAAGCCAGACTCTGCTTTTATTTTTTGCTGATTCCCATAGTTCCCCTCTCTCACAGCCCACTGGATGTGTGCATATGGTCCACTCCATCACTACAGTCATGAAGGATAATGCCATGAAAACATTTTGCTCTGTGTTTGAGTGATTCTGATTTCATGAAATGATAGAAATTATAACTATGTTAAATATTGTCAGAACATTATTTCTGGAATAGTATTTGATTAACTTGTACTGTCTCCATTCATCCCACAGAGCTCTGGGGCCCACATTCCACACTCCTTTGTTCTTCCAGGAGGCTGTTCTCCACCAGTACCTCTCCTATTTTCTCTCTCTGCAGCTTACAGCTACCAATGACCGTAGGAATCAACACAAACTCTCCCATCCGGCCTCTACTGTTTGCCATTTGCCCCTCCCCATCTCACCTTAGCTAAGGTTTTGCATTGACCTGCTATTTCCAATCACGTCAGTCAATGTATGTTTCTTAACAGTAGCCACCATTTGAACTATTCTGTCATACTTGCCACGTTCAGTTGCTTAGCATTTTTAACATCAAATTCAAAATGTATCCTTCAAAATACTTTCATTGAATATCACTACCAAACTCTGAACATGACTTTGCTTAACTTTTATTTTCTATTTTATTAATTTAATCACCTTGTATTTTGCCTCTCAGATCTCTTGTTTCATGTGTTTACAGTATATTCCTAACTAGATGTGAATTTCTTGAAATCACTGGTATTTGATTTCTCCAAGTATTTAGTTGGGTATTAATAATAAAATACTGAGCTGGATTCCATTTCTAATCCTAATTAATGAGGCAGGAAGCCGATCAGGTGCATCATTTCACAGCTCAGTCAATCATCAAATATTAAGTGCCTCCTGGGGGATATTGTGGGAACCTATAATGTTCCAAATTCTATGCTTTGTGCTTTAATACATGGTCTCATATAATTCTCCCAAAAACTCAGTGGAGAAAACACCATTATTATCATTCCCAATTGACAAATGAGATAGCTAATGGCCAAGAGTCTTATTCAAAGTCACAGTGCTGATCAAGGTGGGATTTAAATCCAGGCAGTGTGACCCCAGCTAAAGCTCATGCCTTTAATCACTCCTGTATCCCACCTTATATCCAGACTTTGGCACTGCTTTGCCTTGAGGTTGCAGAACTGGGGGCTAGGAGAAAGTACAGGAATAATAATGGGGAAAGTCATGAGAGTGGAACTGGGTGGCTGGGTGGAAGTCTTCTTGTTCCACAGTGTGAATCTCCCTGTAACCACAAACATCTTGAAGAAGTAAATTCTACTAAATTTCATGAAATGCTTCAGAGTCAAGTCCTTACAGAAACTCTAGGAAAATGCAAAGTAGCTCAAGAAGGTGCAAAAGTCTTAGTGGAAATTCTGATTTTATCTAGATTTCTTAAAGAACTGCGTGCCTCAGCTACTGTGAGCAAAAGTTACTAGTTTGGTCACCAGTCTCTAAAACTAAACCAAACCAAAACAAACAACAAACAACAGAAAACATGTATCACTTTGAACTAAAATGACTCAGTGAGAGAACGTGTTGATGTCAAACAAAGGTAAGTTCCCAGCTGAGGATCACTAGGCTTCTGTGGTCTTCCCAAGTCCACTGCTACATGGTCACTGTGAGAACTGCTTGTGGCCTTGAGAGTGCACAAAGGCTGGTACTCTTCTTTATCCTGTCCCTTGTTTCTTTGCATCTGTTATAGTTGCTGCAGAATAGCAAGCCTATCACTCACAATGGCCAGAAATCAGAACAAATGATCATTACAAACAACCCATGTAGACAGTAAGTGCCAATTCATTATTAGATTTGATTAGTCCAAACATGTGCTGTGCTATTTCTCTGATTGCTAGCAAACAAAGAAGAGGTGGGCTGTGGGCTAGACTTTAGGTGGCATGGAAGACTAGGGTTGGCTGCTGACATTGGCAAATCTGGTAGGTTTTCAGAAAAATATCAGAGGGTGATTAGAGCATATGGGACATTCCAAAAACAGAAGGTCAAGTAAGTGGTACCCAAACCTCTCTGATTATTGGAATTACCTCATGGGTTAAATAAATACAGATCCTAGGCTCTGTCTATGACCTATTGAAACTTTAGTCATGGGAGATGAGAAGTTGCATTAAAAAGTAAAAATTCCCCATGTGATTTTGATAATCATTTTGAGGAACAATTTATTTGAGGACACATTTCATAATTGGTCTTTACTTATTATTTTTGAAACTTTCGCTGTTCATTTCTTGGTGGAGATCCAGGACTATTTTCTTGGTTACAAAGGTCAATTAGTTAAGCAAAGGAATAAGTGGACCAAGCACTCAGAAGGATTTATACCGTGTGTGTGTGTGTGTGTGTGTGTGTGTGTGTGTGTGTGTGTAATGTATTTAAAATATGACTTAAGGTGTATAATTAAGCCCAGTGAAAATGTAGTATCTTAGGGTTTCGTTTTATGATACATTTCATGTGTGAAATGATAATGATTATGATATAATAAAAATGATCATACTCAGAACCCATCTCAACAGTGTCAATTATGCATCATTGCCAAGTGCATGGCTATTGTAGGTCACTTCAGTTTCTTTCTTTCCTTCTAGGTTAAGATAATTGCAATTTATTGTCTTCTAAATGTAGTATCTTGTACTTTTCAAGTATTGAAAAAGACCAGTACAATTCGCATAATGACGATTGCCATTTCCCCAGGTTTTCTATCGTAAGGCAGTGATTTTTGAGTCCATAGATGGGCCAGTAGGAAGTCTACACTGAAATCAGCATTGTGCCTGTAAGTTTGCTTGGGGATCATCTCAATAAACTCTGGGACATACACTTCTTTCTTCAGAAAAATCAGTCATATTTTTCTGGCATGGAGCCAGTTGTAAGACAAAGGACTATGTCACTAGTTATAGCACTATTTCTGAACTAAGTAATATAGAATGTTCTTAATTGCCAGAAAGAGATAAAAAATAGGTATAATGACTAGATATCCACGTGTGCATCAGAGGCTCTGATACAGAGGAACCAGTGTTGGAGATTCTGTGATTGCTTTAAAAATAAACTCAAAATAAATTGAAAAAACATAAAAGCTGCAATTCCCAATTAGGTGTCTTTAAAGTAAGTATTGGAATGGAAAGGAGATTTTAATTAAAAAAATAAAAACTCCTATTAAAAAGTATATGTTTACTATGAAAAGCCTAAGTAAGAAATTTTTTAACAGGCATTTTTTGGGAAACAAAACTTTAAAAAAATAGACACAAAAAGGTATAAATGGAAATAATAAAATTTTGAAAGAATAAAAGTGTTGAAAACTGTGCTTCAAGATGTTCATTACACAAAAAGAAACTGGATTCCTTGTATCCAATTTTATTTTGTAACATAAACTTTATCATATCATTTAGAATAGTGGGTCTCAACTTTCTGAAGGCACAAAACTTCATTTATTTTCCAGTAACCCCTACATAATAGTATGTGTACTTGGTTATCATGTAATGATTGTGGCAATGCATAATTAGAAAATCATAATGATTTAATAGCACTTCAAATAATTGCTATTTCATAAATCAGAGCAGTGCATATGAATCGTATAAATTTTAAAACAGTAGCAGCTATATGTGCAAGATATTTATGCAATCTACAGACATTGTTTGAGTATATATGCTCTGAAAATATGGATTCTTCTCTCCCTTCTTGTATTAATTCTCCAAATCTCCAGGGGACTCATGGCCCACATATTTGGGATAATTATAGAGTAAAAGCAAGAATAATGAATGATTTGTTAACCTCTCCCAGAGATATGTCGTCAAAGGCCTTTAGGCTGAAATGTATTCTCTCCCACTGAGGTCTGCACTGAGCACCACTTACATCTGATGGAGCCCATCTTGCTGACCTGGATCCCTGGCCACATGTGTCTGAACAGTATGATATGGAAGAGAGCCAGAGAAGGGGAGCCAGTTGCTAGTGCTGAATGAGGATTTGGGGCTGATCATTTTGTCTCCCTTTTTATTTGCGAAATTAAGACTCCAATGCTTTTGTTATTATCCTATTGTAGGATACTGAGAGGAATAAAGTTGATAGGAAGGAGCAATCAGAAAGCTTTGGCTGAAAAGAATGATTTAAACCACTGGAGAAAACTTGTCCTATTATGAAGAAAGAAGAGGAACCGATATAAACTTGTGGGTTTTTCTGTTTATGTAAATCAATGACAAGGGGTCTGGAGTGTGCAATTTTCTTGCACATATGTTATTCTTTCACAAGCAGATGTAAATAAAGGCACCCAGCCTGCAGGAGAAAGTTTTGAATAGCGGGTCTGAAATACCTCTGCTTGTTGTTTACCCTCTCCTGTGGTTAGCCTGACCTGTAAATCATGCTTTAGACTCCGGCTGAACCTCCCCCAGTGCCATGTAATACCCAGTACTCAGTGGTGTGTAAAAATTCTTTGGAAGTTGCTTAGATGAATATATAATAACTTTTCATAATTCAAAATACCATTTATTTAACTCACAAGAGAGGAACTCTAATCATGGCAATATGAAGTACTATAATGAACCACAGGGTAGCAGATGGGCCCTGGGGTAAACAGTTTCTGTACTATTGATTTACTTATTTGATTTCCTTGTGAAACGTTCATGACCTGAACCATTGCTGTAGAATACAAATGCAGGTTTTCAATCCAAGTCAGGCATTAAGATTATTTCTTTAAAAAGAATCTGAGTGTTCTCTGGTAAGCCAAAGGAAGACTAGTTAGTGTCTTGGGCCCTGGAAATCAGTGTTTTGCAGTTTGATCAGGTTTGCAAGAATGATTTCTCTATAGAGAGTGCCACAACTTCTATCAAGACACCATCCATATTATTTCATTTCTAGAAACTTCCATTTAGAGCTCACTATCTTCATGACATTCTGTTGTATATATGTTTGTGATCTGAAGATATTAAGATATGATTCTTATCCTCAAAACAATACACAATATTTACAATAGCCATATGATTACAGAAGACTATCAAACATATAAGATGCAAGCTTAAATGCCTAGGGGTCCAGGCAGAGAGTGTCAATGTGTGGAGCTGCCGCTATATGACAATAGGGAGTGGTGGGGACTGTGCCCGACTGGGACATTCATTAACCTCTTAAGTTCAAATTCATATTTAAAAACACTGCTCTGCTGGTCAAGGAAAAACATACATGGGGGCTACATTAACTCTGTTGGACTCTTTTTGGGTGCACATACTCTTGTTCGAGTGTCTAGCAGCTATGTAAAGTTGACTTAATTGACACAATTTTGCAAATAAGGTAGAGGCTCTACAAGGTCAAGGTCTTGGCCAAGGTGACTTAGTTAAGTAGGAGGGCAAAGATAAGAAGTTGAAATTCTATGGACCCAAGCCTGGATATTTTTTTTAAAAAACTAGCAGAGGCAGGAAGAAGCCAGAAATGGTAACTAATTATTTTGCATTTACTCACTCTTCTGATATCTGACTCATTATTCAAGGGCTCCTCCAGTGAATTTACCTTGCCAGTTTCCCCATATTTTCATATAACATTAAAGAACACAGTAAATGCGGGTGATCCCTTCATAATCAACATGCTTCTAATATGTCAGGGGTCTCTAGGTTACAACCAATATATTCACTGATTTGTTTTCCAAAGACAGGATGAGGTTGCTGAGTAAAACAGCTTCATGAAAAAAAGGGAGCAGCTACCCTCTGAGCAGGCTGGTCTATCCAGAGTGGACTCAACACAGAGCTATAGATTTCTAGGGATTTCTGAGCAGGATGTCCAGAATGAGTGTGGGACTTGAGGTCTTATCTTTAGGCCAAACAAAAATATGGACTTTGGAATTAAGAAAAGCTAGATACAAAACCTCTGGTCCTGGGTGACTTTGAGGAATCTGATTAAACCTTTGATGTCAATTTTGTTGTTTGAAAATGGAGAAAAATATATCATAGGGGTTAAATAAGTGAATATAGTTAAGCCAGGTGTTGAGTGCAGTTATTACTATTAGTGAATCATAGGTATTCAATAATGCTGGTTCTCATCTCTTCATCTTTCTTTCCCCTAGCTTTGTATCTGGTGGAGGAGGCTTGGGCCGAAGCTGGTAAAATGAGAAGTTAGGGGAGGATGTCCTCAGAGAGCTGGAAGATCACAGTCCTCATTGTCACAACCGATACAGTGTTGATAGGGACAACATATGCCTTGGAATGTTTCAAATACTTTGCCACAATTAAGGGACACTGAACAGGAACTCAGTTTTGGAAAACAAAGTGGAATTTCTGGAAACTGCTAGCATAAAAGCTTTGACAGGGTCACATGCAGATTAGCATAATTTTATTACATTTTCTATTTTAGTCCTGTGAGATACTAATTTGGATTTCATTGTGCCCATTGAGCGGCTTTTGTTCTTTGGCTGTGAGTTTAATTATTTAGTTATTTATGAGTGCATCTGGGCATAAGTGCCACAGTTTTATTTCGGTGACAAATTTATGGTCAGTGAATTTTAGTAATTAATGAATAAATTATTTCTCCTCCATAAATGCCCCTGCAATTTCTGATTTTCATAACAATTCATAATACTTAAGAAAAATTCTTTATTAGTTGAAAAAGCCAATGCTAATGGAATCAGGAAAAGGAGATTTCAAATTGCTTTAATTAACTGTATTAATTAATATCCAATATGTGTAAGATATTGAATTGGCTTTGGTTGTCTCTCTTAGCATTTAGTTGCCTAAAATCTGTTTAACATATGAATATACTGTGTTAAAATAAATTCTAATTCTTTTGTGAAGTAAATGGCAAGAATAAAAGGATCTCCTTTATAATCTTTAATTCATGGTGTACCCTCAAGTCCTTGAAATTTACCAAAGATAAAAAATTTGCATATATAAACAAATGCGTATATTAGCATTCTAAAAAAGAAAACCATAAGCCACTTTGTAATGTGATTTGAAGGAATTAGGGAAGTTTACAACAGTTTGTATGTTTCAACTTTTTTTTTTTTTTTTTGCGATGGAGTCTTACACCGTCGCCCAAGCTGGAGTGCAGTGGTGCTATCTCGGCTCACTGCAAGCTCCGCCTCCCGGGTTCACGCCATTCTTCTGCCTCAGCCTCCTGAATAGCTGGGACCACAGGCGCCCGCCACCACGCCCGGCTAATTTTTTGTATTTTTAGTAGAGACGGGGTTTCACCATGTTAGCCAGGATGGTCTCGATCTCCTGACCTCGTGATCCGCCCACCTCGGCCTCGCAAAGTGCTGGGATTACAGACGTGAGCCACCATGCCCGGCCTCAAATCTTTTTTGAAGCAAAATCAACACAAAAAATTTCATTAAACCCTATTCTCCACAAATCACTGCACTAAGTGGAGTGGGGCAAGAAATGATGAATAAGAATAATCCCCACCCTTCCGGAGCTCACGGCTGAGTGAGGAGGATGGAAGACACAGTTATTCGAATGATTAAGGGAGTTTGCAAGAATGTATGAGTATGAGCGTGTATAGAACTAGTCCTCACCAATGCTCTAAAACAGAGCCATGCTCCTTCGCTTTGTAGGGCCTGGTTTAAGTTTTACTCTAGAAATATCAAGCAACAGATTGTTTCCTTGCGGACAGGGATTCTTGTAGGTTTTTTCTTGATTTTTCTCTTTTCCCTCACAACAATATTCATTCCATCAATAATTCCTGTCACCTCTACTTTCAAAGTATATACAGTCAGGTATCGCTTAATGAAGGGGATAAATTCTGAGAAATTCATGGTTAGGCAATTCTGTCGCTGTGTGCCCATTACAGAGAGGACTTAACACAAACCTAGATGGTGTAGTCTACTACGCACCTAGGCTATATGGTGCAGCCTGTTGCTCCTAGGTCACAAACCTATGCAGCATGTTACTGTACTGAATACCATGGGCAATTGTAACACAATGGTAAGTATCTGTGTATCTAAACATAAGAAAGGTACAGTAAAAATACCGTATAAAAGATACAAAATGATATGGGGTGCTTTCCATGAATGGAACTTGCAGGACTGGAAGTTGCTCTGGGTGAGTCAGTGAATGAGTGGTGAGTGAATGTGAAGACCTCAGACATTGCATTACTGTAGACGTTCTAAACACTGTACAATTAGGATATACTAAATTTATTTAAAATGTTTTTCTTTCTTTAATAATAAATTAACCTTAGCTTACTGTAGCTTTTTTTTACTTCATAAACTTAAAATTTTAAATTTATTGACTCTTTTGTAATAAAATTTAGCTTAAAACACAAATACATTGTACAGTCTTACAAAATATTTTCTTTCTTTATGTCCTTCTTCTTCTTCTTCTTCTTTTTTTTTTTTTTGAGACAAGGTTTCACTCCCATTGCCCAGGTTGGAATGCGGTAGCACAATCTCTGCTCACTGCCTCAACTTCCCGAGCTCAGGTGATCCTCCTACTTCAGCCTCCTGAGTAGCTGGGACTACAGGTGCATACCACCACACCTGGCTAATTTTGTATGCTTTTTGTAGAGACAGGGTTTCACTATGTTGCCCAGGCTGGTCTTGAACTCCTGAGCTCAAGCCGTCCACCCTCCTTGGCCTCTGAAAGTGATAGGATTACAGATGTGAGCCACTGTGCCCAGCCTATGTCCTTATTCTATAAGCTTTTTTCTTTTTACATTTATTTTTTTTTTACTTTTTAAACTTTTTTGTTAAAAACGAAGACGCAAACACACATGCTAGCCTAGGCCTACACAGGGTCAAAATCAGGATCGTCAATATCACTATCTTCCACTTCTATACCTTATTCCACTGGAAGGTCTTCAGGGGCAATAACACACATGAAGCCGTCATCTCTACGAAAACAATGCCCTCTGGAATGCCTCCTGAAAGACCTGCCTGAGACGGTTTTACAGTTAACCTTTTTTAAAAATAATAAGTAGAGGGAATACACTCTATAATGATAAAAAGCATAGTAAATACATAAACCAGTAACAGCCATTTATTGTCATTTTCAAGTATTATGTACTTTACATCATTGCATGTGCTAGATCTTTCTACAACTGGCAGCTCGGTAAGTTTGTTTACATCAGCCTCATCACAAATGTGTGCTCAATGTGTTGCACTATGATATTACCATGGCTAGGTCATGATGGCTACAATGTCACTAGGTGATAGGAATTTTTCAGCTTCATAATAATATTATGAGACCACCATTGTCTATGTGATCTGTTGTTGAATGAAATGTTACGTGGCGCATGACTGTATGGAGTCTGCACACTTCTACCACTGCCCTACAGCCTAAGCCTCTGCCAAGACTTTGTTTCTTTTTGATGCTCCCCAGTCAATTCTCCACCCAGTAGCCTCAACGTTTCCCTCTCTGATCCAGTCATGTAGGATTTTTTGTTTCTCCAACATGCCCACTCTTATTCCCAACCCAGGGCCTTTGTTCTTCCTCTTCTCTCTGCCAGAATCATTTTCCTCCAGATACTCTCATGCTTCATTTTCTACCTCATTTGGGTCTCTCTCTACTCAGATGTTACCTTCTTAGCTTTACCTGACTCTTTAAAACAACTTCCCTATCACCTCCACCGGACCGTTTTTTCATGGTCAGGGTTTAAGCAGAAAAACTTGATCTGTCGTCTGTCTGTATGTCTTTTGGTAAGTCTGTTGATTTGTACTGTTTTTCCCTCTCTCTCTCTAGCTGTTGCTGGAGCTTAATGTCCACAGGGCAGCAGTCAGGAGAGAAAAATGAATGTAATAATGGGTATATGGTAGAGTGATCAGGGGCTAACTGGAACCCACAAGCATGAGCTGAAACTCATGAGGATGGACTGAAACATGTGTTGTTGTTGCCTTTGGCTTTGCAAAGAGGATATTTATTTGTTTCATGAAAACAGATATTTTTACTAGTGTGCAACAGAATAGTACTTGGCACTTAGTTGCTATTCAAGAAATATTTATTGAATGAATATGATATCTAAAGATGTCTGGTCTGAGGACAAGAGCCATGATCAAATCAAGAGGTTGGGAGAGCAGGCTAAGTCAACTGGCAATGCTGGTTTATGGAATGAGCTGGACCCCATTTAGAGACTGAGCAGGAAGCAACTTCCTCTTTCTCCTGCTGCCCCTTCAAACATACTGTCAGGGGCCAGATCTTCCCATCACTAGACAAAACTTTAGGCAAGTCTCATAGCATTTCTAATATTCTTCAGCCATAAGAGCAGTCTCATTCAAGAGAGACTACATTAAGTCTTTAAACTTTTAACCAGGATAAAGCTTCCATTCACCCCAGGTTGGTCCTGCTTTGAGCATGGAAGTCTGTGGTGAGGGAGGAGGGCATTGCCAGCTTCTCTTCTCAGCCTTTCCTCTCTCACTCACCTTTTACTGGAGGCTGGCTTTGTCCCTCCAGTGCTGGGTCATGCAGGACAAGGGATTAGGGAAGAAGGCTGTAGACTTCTGAGCGGGTGTGAGTGTAAACTGAAGTTCTTGCCCTCTGGATGCAAGACTGTGATGTATTTTCTGGTTCTTTCTTTCATTAGAGCTTTTGAGTGTTTTCTGACTGTCTTTCCTGCATAGAACTGCCAAGCAAAATTATGATAATAATGCCTTCTCTTGCTGGTGGCTTTGGGGAATATACACTCTGCCTGCTGTTACATGTTCTTTGCTCACCTTTGCAGTTCCATCAGTTCCTTAGCCTTCAGACTGTGGAAGTGAGTCGGATCCAAACCTCTACAGCCCTCACACCCCAGAGGACATGCCAGGCCCTCCAGGTGGAGTGCTTCTATGACTGAAAGTTGAGGGGAAGCAACCCCCTCTTTAACTTTGCAGGGAGAGTTGTGCACACAGCCCTCACACGTCTCTCTCCAGAAAAGCCCTCTTTTCTGGCCTCTTCTCCCCTCCATTAATGAATTGTTTGTTTGTTTGTTTGCATATGGCCTGGTGGTGACTGGTGGATTAATGCTGGTCTGATTGGTTTGAAAATCCCTTCACCCGTCCTTTGGCCTTCCTGTGCGATCTTACCACTCTGCCTCAGGACGTGCAGGTACTTGCCACTTACTTTATTTTTCATGGAAGCTCTGCAAAGATGCAGAGTCAGAAGCATCCCATTTTACTAGCCTATTATAAAGAGGGGGAGATTAACTTTGGTTTCAGATATTGCAGCAGAACCTTCCTAGGTCATTACCTGATTTCCAAACACCTTCTCCATCAGCTTGTTGCTGTTGCGTAAAATGCTAACCTTATGGAATCTTTCCTTGGTATTAAGAATTTGTCGCTAATTTAACAATGCCAAATGACCTCTTCATTCAATTGATGAATGGGACTGCTTTCGTGTTAAGCTTTTAACAAAGCTTTTATTCTGCCCTCACAACTCTGAAAGTAATGTTATTATTTGCATTTTACAGATATGGAAATTGAGGCTTAGGGAGGTTGATACCACAGTGGGGTTGCATACCAGATAACAGGGCCCTATAGAATTTGAACCCTGGTCTCTCTGATTCCAGAGTTTGTTCTATTAAACTCTATATGTGGATAATTAGAGTATGAATGTTGGAATAATTGAGATAATTGTTATTCCTTTGAAACGCAGGAATCAGCCACCAGTGTCTAGGGTCTACTCTCCTGTAATGTTAGGCTGCGTGAGAACAGGGTAGAACCTGCCAGTCATGGTGCAGTGGTTTATCCATAGCTAAACTAGTCAAAACCAAACAGAAGAGGCAAAATCCAGAAGAGGAACTACTGTAACACATGTGATTTAAAAAAATGAGTAAAAACTGCTCAAGGGTTTGGTTCCTTAGTGGGAATTAGTGACTTAAACTGGGGGTAAATAAATATGGATTGGAGGGCAAATCTAAGAATAGATTTGTAAAACCAGAGAAAATGACTGAGGTGAGTCTCAATCAATTTAGAGGTTTATTTTGCCAAGGTTGAGGATGTGCCGAAGAAAAAGAGACATGAGCCACAGCAGGATCTGTGGCCCACAAGTTTTTCTAAAGAGGATTTGGAGGGCTTCAACATTTAAAGAAAAAAAACAGACAGGAGGGAAAAGGGGAAAGAAAAAAGAGGGTGGGTGATGTGGTTAGGCTTCGTGTTCCCACCCAAATCTCATCTTGAATCGTAATCCCCAGGTGTTGAGGGAGTGACCTGGTGGGAGATGATTGGATTATGGGGGCAATTTCTCCTATGCTGTTCTCATGATAGTGAGTGAATTCTCATGAGATCTGATGGTTTTATAAATGGTAGTTTTTCTTGAGCTTGCACATGGTCTCTTTCTCTCACCTGCTGCCATGTAAGAGCTGCTTGCTTCCCCTCCTGGCATGATTGTAAGTTTCCTGAGGCCTCCCCAGCAATGTGGAACTGTGAGCTGATTAAACCTCTTTCCTTTATAAATTACCCAGTCTCAGGTATTTCTTTATAGCAGTGTGAGAACGAACTAATACAGAAGGTATGGTCACATTCTTGTGAGGCTTTGATTAGAGCTCACTGAATTGACATGTTGCATGAAAAGGAGGGGTTAAAGGGAACAGTCAATTAGGTATTCATCTGGTGCTCAGTAAATCTGCACTTTACAGGATGGGCTGGGGGAGGGGATGATTTCTAGTCTCCTCTTATCCTTTACCATGAAGATAAGCTGTTAATTTACATTGTCAGGGTGAGGGAGGCTAACTGTGGAGATCTGTGGCTTTCTATCTGTAGCTATTTTACTTAGGAACAAAAGAAAAGGCAGTTTTTTTTGCATGACTCAGCTTTTAAGCTTAACTTTTCCCTTTGGCATAGTGAGTTTGGGGTCCTAGGATTTTTATTTTCCTTTCACAGTTTCTAAGTAGCCAGAAAGGAGTTGAAACTTGGATGATGAGCAGAAAATTTTGGTTCTCAAAAATATCTGTGTTATTCTTTTTCCTGGGTGCATAGCTGAACAATATTTTCCAGATCCCTGGTAGTTAGTTTGGGGCCATTTGACTATCTGTCTGATAGAATACGGGTGAAAGTGATATAAGCCACTTCTAGGCCTGGCCCATGTAAAGCTCCTGGGCATGACCCTCATTTCTTCTCTCTTCTTGTTTTTCAGCAGCCTTGAAAGTCACATTGAAAGTAGCAGCACTTCCAGATTCAAGGTGTCTGGATGCCTGAGTTCTCCTGTTATCCACTGCTCACCACTTCTTACTGTCCCACCCTCCACCATAGACTAACATTGGACTGTGGCATGAGAGAGAAACAAACCTTTGTTGTATTAAGCTGTCAAGAACACAGGTTCTTGGCTACATAAGCCAATGTTACTTATCTTGTAAGAAAAGGATGCACAATGGCCCAAGCTAAATTCTGCTTAAAGTGTCAGTGCTGCTACTTTTCTCCTATGTTCTTGCCTTTTATTTTCAATCCCAAAACTCAAAGGTGTCCATGTGGCTAATGAGAATCAGAACTCGGACACTTGAGGCCCCCTGAGTCTGGGTCTAAACAGAGCTTATATTCAGTGTTTGTGTCTGTTTTGGGTGTTTGAGAAAAACAGTGTGCCTTTCATGGGGGCAAGAATTGGAAATTCTGAGAGGTTTGGTGACTAGACTAGAGATGAGAGGATTGAGGTGGCCAATCACATCTCATAAGATTTTATATCTTGTGTAGAACTATGCTGGTGGGCAAAGAGTTGATGACACAGAAAACAGAGAACTTTCTTGGTTTTGGAAAAAGAACCGCAACAAGAAATGTGATGTATAAAATGAGTGGATCCCAAGAGGCAACGAGAAATGGTTTAACAGTTAAATTGTGTGATGAAACATTTAAAGGAAGCAATTGATGCAGAGAAAGAAATCAATCAAGAGATGTTTTGAAGTAAAAAAAAAAAAAAAAACCTGAAGCTGGTGACAATGAACATTAAATATGGGAGGGAAATGAGTCAAAGATAACTCAAAAGTTTTAAGACTTGACAATTTGGGAAAATGAATGGTAGTGCCATTGGCAGTGATGGCAAGTATTTTGGGAGTGGGATAATTTTCAATGAAAATATGATGAATTTTGTTTTGAATGGATTGAGTTTGCAGTGATTTTGAAGCATTCAGAAATGCCCAGTGGGCTGTTGATAAGGTATTTTCTCATCAGTCTAACTTTCCTTTTTAATTCAAGTACAGTAAGAATTAGGCCTCTAGTTATTGAAGTCTTTTTTGTTTTTGTCAAAAATTAAGTAAAACTATCTAGGCATTTAATATGTATCTTATGAAGGTGGAGATATTTAATATCTCCACCATTTTGCTGTTATCTCTTGTTTTATTTCCCTTCCCACCACAACAATTAAGGAGTCTACACTTTGCTCACACTGCTAATGTATTTATAAAGCATGGCCCAGCTGCTCCTGCATGCCCTTGCTAGCTGCAATTTATTTTCTGCCTTGGCCTTTCTGACTTGGCCTCTGTATGTGTCAAATTGTCTTATACAGGTCCTTGATCTTTTGCCCTAGTAACATTTTGCATATGATTACATTTCAGAGTTTGGAATCTTCAATCATGCAGTGAAAAGTGATGCTGCATAAATTTTAAATTCAAGAGATTAAAAAAGAGGTCAACTGGGAGGTAGAGATTGAGTGAGTTTCTGTAGAAGGCAGAGTGTCTTAAAAGATTGCATTTTAGCCAGATGATTTTCTGGTCCAAAATGCCCTTGATATTTTCTAACTTTAGGTCTCCAAGGGTGACGAGTAACTGACCAGTAGTGACACATTAATTTGGTAAGTTTGTTAAGACCATGTGGCTGATAATCAGGGAATGAAATTAATGATTTGGAGTTGACAGCCAAGTTATCACATTACTACTCATCAATTTCTCATCACCCTTGGAGACCTGAAGTTAGAGAATATCAAAGACTTTTTGGACCAAAAAAGCCTGAGGTGTAGGTCCCCACTGGGTCTCCAGGTTGTGCCAGGAGAATGTCTGCCCTGAAGAGCCAGTTAGTACTTCATCATTTCCCTACAAATAGAAACATTTGTAGGAGGAGCAGCTCCCTCCTCTCTCCAAACCCACCATACACAAACCTCACTAGCCTTAGAGCTCAATGCTTTCTTTTCTTCTATGCCTTTCATATGCACAGTGCAATTCCAGCCATACCATTAGTATCTGAGTGTGGTGATTGCCAGGGAGGTGGAGGGAATGTCCCTTGATTGGTATATTTGATGTGCTTGTTTGAGTATGTCCTCTTTCCACTAATGCTTGTGGAGTGATCTCTATTTCCAAGCCTGGTCTCTTGCTTCTACTTAGAAGGCAGAGTGTGTTCTTCCTCCCACCACGCCCCCATTTTACATCTTGTCCATGACAATGTAGAGGTGAAGGGTTTCATTTTTTTCACTTCTCAGGCCCACTCCCCGGTTACGGTCAGAAACTGATAATGCTTCTGGCCTGGATTGTATGGAATTAAAAGTAAAGAGATAAAAGTGATGATTAGTACTAGTGAGCATAGGGTAAAATAATATACGTCTGCAATGTGAGCTGAACTGTGCACAAACAGATGCACAATATGGTTTTTCAGACCATCTCAGTGAAAAGGCAGCTTATTAGAATAAACAGGGGGTCTCTTCTTAAAATATTCACACCTAGGGTACATTTCCTCAACCTCCATGACAAGTAAGGACAGATGATACAGCTAGCAATGCACTGCGTATATGACCAGCACAGAGGAGAAAAAATGTTGAGCATCAAGGCCTGTGTAATTGATTCCAATAAGTTAAAAAAAAATCATGGTTCAGATTGAAATATTTATTGATAACAGATTAGAAGCTGAATATGAAAACCATTCCAAATATACTCCTAAAATTCAACATTTTCAAGTTATATAGACTTGGAAATAGATTGGGCTTCTTCACGCCTCGGGTTTAATAAGATTAGAAAAACATGCAGTGATTGTGCACGTTGAAAGAGAAGGGATAATAATACTTATCATGTGGTTTAAAATCCTCATTTCATGGAAGAGAGCTCTGAGGCCTAGAGAAATGATGACTGTCCATGGTCAATGTGGTCTAATAGGAAAAACCTAGGTTTTATAGACACAAGAGTCTAGGTTTGATTTTTTTGATTTGCCATTTGACATTGAGCTAGTTTCTTAATTTTCTTTAGACTTGGTTCCCTGATTTGCAAAATTGAGATGTTAATACCTGTCACTCAAGTTTGCTGTAGAGAGTAAATAAGCTAAAATCTCCAAAACAGTATCAGGCATGTAGCAGTCACTGAGCAAATGGGAGCTGCTATTATTATTATATATACTTAGAGAAGACAGAGCTGGCAATATCCATGCTGTAGGATATACAGTTTTTATTCTTCTACATCATATACTTCCTAAATCAAGTTTTATAATAAACCCTCTATAAATGAGAATGAGAGCACTTTCACATCTGCTACTCACGACAAAAAGGAGGGGCCAGTGTTATAATCTAGCTGTATTTGTAGGAGACAATGACGTTGAGAGGTTAAATGATTTGCTCAATAATGCTAATGAGAAACAAAGCGGGGACCGAACCAAAACCCAGGGCTCCTCCAGCACCAACACACTCTAACTTCATTCCTTACAATCAAAGATTTCACAGGTCACCATTTCCTCCATTTCTTAATTAATGGGCATTGTTATTGCTCCCCAAACTTACCCTCTTTCTTTTTTTTTGAGACAGAGGCTTGCTCTGTCAAGTGCCATATTGGCCAGGCAGTCCTTGAACTCCTGACCTCAAGTGATCTACCCACCTTGGCCTCCCAAATTGCTGGGATTACAGGTGTGAGTCTCAGCTCCCAGCCCCTCTTTATTATACTATGTACACACACATAAAAACACACACACACACATTTCTGAAATGGTAATGTGACTGGTATATTGAATGAGTTGAACTCTATAGGGTGTAAGTAGAAAAAATTATTTTTTCTCATTATTTTCCTTTCAAACTTTGTGGTTATTTAATTTCTGCAACTGGGATGAAATCTCAGCTAGCTTCTAATATGTCTCCAGGCACTCTTAGATAATGAAATGTCAATGGGCCTTCCAGCCATGAAGGTAACTGGCACTTGACTAGTTCTCCCAACCTAATCAACTGTAAATCTAGACAAATATATATGAAGCAACTGTTTTCAAATGATGGGCACCAGGCAGCAATGGACTGTAATCCTTGAGAAGAAGAAAAATTCATTGGATGAGCTTAACAGCAGACTGAGAACTGTAGAAGAAAGTGATGTATCCAAATTGAATTAGAGGAAAAAAACCTGAAAAAAGGAACAGCTTAAGAGATTTGTGAGGCAACAACAATCAGCCTAATTTATGTGAGACTAGAGTCCCTGAAAGAATGAAGGGTGGGATTGAAGCAGAAAAACAATGGAGAAATAATTAACCAAAATTTCAAGTTTGATCCCTAAGTGTGGGAACAAAGCAAAGATATTTACTCTTAAGACTTTTTTTCAACATTATGCTGGAGGTATTAGAATTAATTAGCGAATTTAGCCAGGTTGCAGGGTTCAAGGTCAATATACAAAGACAATTGCTTTTCTATATACAAACAAGGAAAAATAGGAAAATGAAATTAAAAGTCAATTCTAACAATCAGTAGCATCAAAAATATAAAATACATAGGAATAAGTTTAATGAAAGACATATAAACCTCTACATGAAAAAAAAACACCACAAAACATTGCTGCAATGAATAAAAGAAGGCCTAAATGCATGGAGAAATATACTATTTATGGATTGAAACATTTAATATTGTTAAGAAATCAATTATTTCCATATTGTTCTATAGATTCAATACAATGCCAGTTGAAATCTAAGCAGGTTTTTAAACATTTAATAGAAACTGACAAGCTGATTTATATGGAAATGAAAAGAACTTAGGATAGCCAAAACAATTTTACCAATGAGGAGCTTATACTATCTGATTTCAAGACTTAAACTTTAAATTGCTGTAATTAAGATACTGCTAGTGACATTAGGGCAGACAAATACTGTAGATCAATAAAACAGAATACAGTCCAGAAATAGGTCTACACATATATGGTATTGTGGTTTTAAAGATGACCACAAATTCTTAGATATACTTTCTCTCAGTATGTAGGGTTCTCTCGAATCTAAATAGGGTTGTGATTTATCTGACCAAAAGAATATGGAAGTGACAAGATGTAATTTCAGAGAGTAGGTCATGAATGGCCACACAGCTTCTGCCAGATTCTCTTAGGTCAGTCTTTTTTGGGGAAAGCCAATGATTATGTCAGAAGTTTGACTACTCTCTGATTGCCATGCTGGAGAAGTCACCCATGGATACTTTGGTTGATACCCTCACCTGAGCTCCCAGCAACCAGCCAGCATGTCAGGCACGAGAGGAAGGCACGTTTGACATCCAGCCCAATTGAGGCTTCAGATTATTGCAGTCCCACGAAACATCTAACTGCAGCCAGATGAGAAACCCCAAAAAGAACTGCCCAGCAGAGCTTTTTTTTGAATTCCTAACACACAAAATAGTCAGCAAAATAAAAGTTATTTTAAGCCACTAATTTTTGTGGTAATTAGTTGTGCAACAAAAGTTGTTGGATAATTCACTGGGCAAATGAGAGTCCTTCCAAGAAATTTTTCAGGAACAACTGGATAACTGCATGAAAAATAATGAACTTTAATCCATACTTTGTGCCACACATAAAACCATTCAAATTGGAAATTAGACTTAAATGTAGAAACAAAATCTGTAGAACTTCCAGATAAACATACTGAACTATATTTATGCAATGGAATATATTCAGTAATAATAAGAAAAAATAACCTACGGATACATGCAACATTATGGATGTTATCTCGAAAACATTATTCTTAGCAAAATATGGCAGACACCAAAGAGTACATACTGTATAAATTCATTTACATGAAGTTATAGAACAGGTAAAATGAATCTATGGTAATGTTAAACAGTAGTTGCCTCTGAATAGGGAATGAAATCTGGTACCTTTTGTCTATGGCAGGGCTCCAAGGGTGATTACCTTTATTTCAGGTGCTATGATTGTAGCTTCCATATAAGTACTCCCACTGGAGCTCTCTATTTGTAATTCTCATGAATTGAGCCTCAGCCTCTGGGATATCCAGCAGTGTGTCGCAGACAATCTTCCCATCAGTCCTCTTTAAGATTGCTCCAGGTAGGTTTTTTTCTCCATGTGACCCAAATCTCACACAGAAAACAGTCACCTGCCCTTGTCTCACAAAGAAGGGTACTTTGTTCCTAGTGAAGTTTTCTGCTCCGTGGCTATAGGTTTCAGCTTCTCACTAATGTCAGGCATGGTCTGACATTAGTCTTGGACACTACATATACCAGGTGGTCAAGATCAAACTCCCTTAGCAGGTCACTAGAAGCTTCTTTTACTTACCCTCTTCCCCTCTTCTGTGATGGAAAGAGAAAGTATTATAGCACCCCATAACTTTTGGCAGTAATTCTCCACTTTTTAACGTTAATCCTTTTATACCCTCAAGATGGTTGATGAGTGAATCACGGCAAAACTGACTTCTTATTATTTACTTTGCAAGTTCTGTAGAAGTGGTCTTGCCCTTTACTTTGGAATGCAGGAGCACTTAGTAACTATTGTTTGCTTTTTTCAGTTTTAGACTGAGGCAGGAATAGTCCAATTTTAACACTCTCTTACAGAAAGGGGGCATTTTAATGCCCTGGTTGTTGACCTTTAGCTGACATTCTTGGCTTCTCAAAGCAGAGCACTTTTACTAAATTATTGGCTACAGAAAATCTGTCAGAAGATTTCGTTTATCGACAATTAACTTTAATGTCAAGTGTGACAGCTGATTTCGTGATGCTTTCAGCAGTGAAAATTCTCGTCTCACCGTCTTTCTGCCACCCACAAATAAAAAAAGCTGACTGTGAATGTGTGTAAGCTGGTTCTTTCTCTCTGGTGAATAATGTGTTCCCACTTTATAACTTTCTTTTTAAATAAAAAACAATATATTTAATACTATGATGGGATAAGTCATAGTCTCATTGCTATTAAGAGAAAGCTTTAAAAATGGCACTTGTTATTGGTCTCTGGTACCTGTTGCAATGACAGATCTCTGGGACTGAAGTAAAATGACCTCTTTATTTATTAACACGTTTTGCCAAACAAGATGATTTAGTCATGGATTTTCTGAAAGAAATAGTAGCCAGTTTGAAAAGTAAATAAGGACCCAAGAATGTATAGTGACTACTTGGTTTTCTTTAAGAAGAACAGATTTTCTACTGGGAAGTTGAATCTTTCTTCTCCTTTTCTTTTTATTGCTCTCCAAATGTCATTTTTAGTTGCAGAATTGGTTCTTTCATAAGAAGATCCTGTGACTTCCATTTTGAAGATGGTACTATAAAAGTGGCATTTCCCTCCTCTCCTTTTGACTTACCCAAAAGGAGCAAAAAAGAATGATGAATGAAAGTATAATATCTGCCTCCAATAAAAGTGGGAGATAGCATACATTCTAAACAACAGAGTAAGCAGAGTAGTATAATGATGATGGCAGTCAAACAGAGGGATGTGGGAAATTAGAGACAGGATGTCTGTGTCAGTAGATCTCAGAAATATATGTGCTTTTTAAAGTTAGGGGCCTCACTTAGAAAAGCAAAACTAAAGCTTCAGTTTGGAAATTGGAAACAGGCTCACTGGCTGTCATGGACGTTTTCCTTTGGCTTGGTTTTGTTCTGAGAATTGAGAAGGGGGCCAGCTGAAGAGTTATGTTGGTAATACAACTGCACGAAGCAGGCTATGTTTCTGGAGATCATGTTGGAACGGCAGGGGTCTTTACATTATAAATATCCCTACAGGTGACTAACTTTATGTCTGGGAAAAGTAAATTCTCAAAGAGCTAATGGATGTTAATAGGGGATATTAGGAAAATTTCTATCCTTAATTAACCCTGTCCTGGTTCCTTCCCCCACATGACCCTCGTATGTATAACTGGTTTATGAAAAAAATTAAATTACCATAATCAAAGATGAAAAATTAAAGGAAAAGAAATCAGCACAGACATACATAAAGTCATTACTATAAAAACAAAGGAAAGAGAAACAAATTGTTGATGAAGAATATATACTGAAAATACATTGCAGATGAAAACTGTAAGCAGATATTTCACTATTCATTAAAAAATTAACAAGGCAACCACTCTAATATAGTAACAGTATAAGCAGAAACATAAGGACTAATGGAGAGGTGGTTAGAGAGTACAAGGAGATGAAATGTGAGTTGGCAGAGATCAGGAAAATGTAAAAGCAAAAACTAAACAACAAAAAATAAATAAATAAAGCCATTGCATAACCAAAGGCAAAACTATTAGCAGCACAACAGAGATTAGACATTGATGGAAACACGGAAAGAGACATGGTAAAAATGAGCACATTGAAATGGAAGCAGAGAGTTAAAAGGTTAGAGAAAAAAAATACTAGGTAGGCAAAGGTGATACACATAATCAATGTCCCAAAGAGGAAAAATGGAGAAAATCACTCATAAAAATATATGTATTTAGAATATTTTATGGATTAAAAAATCTATCACTTGAAAGGGCATGCTATCCCCAGGAAAATTTCACCTGAAATGGAGATGGAGATAAGTGTTAATATATAAAAACAATTATTTGTGGGAGGCACTGAATCCATATAATTTCACAAAAACAAACATGGGGAGTATGGCTGTAGACTATAACACAAATGTTATAAGTTCTGACAAATACAGAAAAGGGATAAAGGAAGAGAAGAATGGCTTATTGCTATTTTTCTGTGTTTCTTATCTGGTACGGTGGAAAAGAGTGTAGATACAGCAAGTGAAGTGCCTGATCGAGGCATATACAGGGGGAAGCTGACAGTCGGGGTGGACTGCCCTTACAAGGAAGAATATTTTATCACTGATATTGTATTATTGGTGCATGGTAGTAATAATCATCAGATTGATTTATATATGGTTTTATTATCATTTTAAAATTTTCTAAAGAACAGTGCACATTCTTATTAAAAGCATCTGGCATGGACAGCTCCCACAGCCTCACCCTTGGTAATCCACTGGCTAAGGTACAGGTATATTTACCATTACAAAGCAAACACTAAAAAGACAATATTATCAGCTAAATGAGGAAGCAGAGTAGAGGGAGGCAAAAGGAAAGGTGAAATATATGTGCTAATTTCATCTTTGGTCATTGTCTGGAATTAATTGCTACTGCAACAAATATGCCATTGTGACTTTGAATAGGCAAAACTTATTAAAGAATGATCCCTGCAGCACAAACCCTAAAGGAATTATTCATAGCTTATGACAATTAAAATCACTTCTATTCCTTAAATGAAACAAAGGATTAAATATACTATGCAAAGCTGTAGGTATGAATGTAATCACTAGGAAAAAAATCTTAAAAGACTTCAGCAAAACCCAGATATAAAACAAAAAGAAAAAGAAACAAAAGCACACAGTGAAAGATTTATTTTTAAAATAATTAAAGTTTAAGACACCTTTTCCCTTAAGAAAAATGAGAAATTCTCTTCTCCACAGCCGTCACAGTCTCATCCCTTCCTGGCTCACTTTTCTTACTTTGTTCCTTTTCCCTCCATGCCTTGAATGCAAAAGCCATGAAAAAAAAATACTCATTTCTCTTTTGAAAGACTTGGGGTAGAGAAGTTGGCTCTATAGCAGAGAAACACAAAATTTTATACCCATAACTACTATCATCAATTGTTGCTATTACATTGCTTGCTTTTTAATTATGTCCAGGGGTTGATCAAGACTTAGATCAAATATCTAGCTGTGTTACTGAATTATCTCAGTGAGGTGTGGCAAGAGCACAGGCTCTGGATAATGTTTCTAAGTTTAAAATGGACCTTTTTGCTGGGCGAGGTGGCTCATGCCTGTAATCCCAACACTGTGAGAAGCTAAGGAGGGCGGATCACTAAAGCTTACAAGTTCAAGACCAGCGTAGGCAACATAGCAAAACTCCATCTCTACAAAAAATACGAAAACTAGCCAGGTGTGGTGGCACATGCCTGAAGTCCCAGTTACTCAGGAGGCTGAGGTGGGAGGAAGGCTTGAGCCCAGGAGGCGGAAGTTGCAGTGAGCCAAGGTTGCACCACTGCACTCCAGCCTGGGCAATAGTACCAGACCTTGTCTCAAAAAAATGTGCCTTTCCCATTTACTCTCCATATAGCCTCATAACCTCTCCAGGAATATTGCAGTAACATACACCTTGCAAAGTTGTCATGTGGATAATAAGGTAACATCTCTTGAGCACTTACTATCTGCCTGGCTCTTTCTAAGTATCCTACATTGTGTTAACTCTGAATTTCCACAAACACTTCATGAGGTAGTACATTATTATTATCCCCATTTTCCAAATAAAGAAATAGAGGCACAGAAAAATGAAGTTACTTATTCAAAGCCACACAGCCAGCTAAAGTAGAAACTGGGATTATGAACCCAGGCAAACTGATCCTAAGGCCTGTTTTCTTAACCTCTTTGCTAGATTGTCTCCCTAAGTTAGAGGATTAAAGATAATACACGTCACATCTCACAACAGCTAGTAGGTGCGAAGAAATGAAGCTGTTCCTGAGGAGAGCTGGCCTCATTGCTGTGTCACATCAGGGCATGGAGAGGTCAGGTAAACTGATGATTTTCAAACCACTAGGAGAAGGAGGTAAAATTTCACAAAGAACGAAGAAACAAGTGATAATGGACATTCTAGAAAAGTAGTTCACCTTTTGCATTAGAAATAATAAGCAGAGGGTTTGGAGCAGATGTCCCTGGCAAATAATAAAATCAGTCCCAAAGAAGAGAAGTAGTCTTGAAAAAGTGGCTTCCAGGGAGGGAGCTGGAATATATAAGGGAATGGCTGTGCAGCCTTTTTGTGGGCAGTGAACAGACTGAAGAGCTTCTAGAACTTTCTGTCCTGAAACCAAAGGATACACAATTAATTTCATGTATGATGAATGGAGTTAACTGGCATTGTTTCCACTAGAAATTTTACTACTTCATCAGTGATCTGAATAGCTAAGAATCTCCTTTGATCCAATAAAAAGAGTAGGGATACATACACACACACACGCTCTCACTTTTACACACACACACATCCCCCAAATTCATTAGGTTGTAAGTCCCAACCTCCACTGATCTGGTTTGGCTCCATGTCCCCACTCAAATCTCATCTTGAATTGTAATTCTAGCGTGTTGAGGGAGGGACCTGTAATCCCCATGTGTTGAGGGAGGGAGATGATTGGATCATGATGGTGGTTCCCCCATGCTGTTCTTGTGATAGTGAGTGAGTTCTCACGAGATCTGATGGTTTTATAAGTATTGGACAGTTCCTCCTTCACACACTCTCTCTCCTGCCACCTTGTGAAGAAAGTGTCTGCTTCTCTTTCCACCATAATTGTAAATTTCCTGAGGCCTTCCCAGCCATGTGGAACTGTGAGTCAATTAAACCTCTTTCCTTTATAAATTACCCAGTCTTAAGTATTTCTTTATAGCAGTATGAAAACAGACTAATACATCCATCCACCAACTTTTGAATTGACTTCTGTCTTAAGTGAAAGCTCTATCAATCTGTCCGTGTTGAAATTCTTTTCACTCTATGTGTGAATTCTGCCATTCAAAGAGAGATAGCAAAGTTCTACTGAGATCACAGGATCTGACTTGAAATGGAAAGTGAATGTTCAGAAGAAATAACATTGTTAAATCCATTGCACATTCAGTGCAAATGGCTATTTTTGGATCTGGAGACAGAGGCCTTTAATCCCTTCACTCTGCCTCAGCCCAGGCGCCTGCTGGCAGCATAGCTTGTGTAACTATGGGCAGAGAACAGAGACCATGGCCTTCCTGTTGTTCCACTTCTTCAAATCTTCCAAGGAAGGAAAAAAACTTTATCCCATGCTCTCAAAGATGAGCTGTTCAGCTCATCTCACCCACTGCTGCCATCCATTGTCAAGCCACCAGTCTCTCTGTAGTTGTGACTCTTCATTTTCATAGTCCAAGTAATTTATTCATGTTTCTCAAGCACCGTTGTGTCCCTACGTGGTAACAGCAGTTGTTATGCTATTTACCAAATATATTTATCTCCAGTCACGCTGCTGTGCTGAGCTGGCGGAACAGGTGCATTCTTAATGCCTGCTTTCTTCCAGGTAGGCTCTCTGCGGCTCTTTGGCTTCTGCTGAGATAACCTGGATGTTGCACAAGGCCAGAGCAGCTGGAGGGAAAGCTCTAGGTCCTCGCCATCTGGCCTCCCAAATGGCAGGGTCAGACGGGAGTAGAGCTGCTTCCTAGCACTGAAGACCCTCGTTGGCCCTACTCTCCTGTTCTTCCCAGGACAATTGGTGTACTTCAGGAGGTGACAGAAGTGGTTACAAAGTGTCCCGAGCTCCCAGGACCCATGGTGAGCTGCTGCCTTTAACTGTAATTACCCTCCATACCACTGTTCAGCAGGGCCAGTTGGCAGTTGGAATAAAATGAGATTCTGGATTTAAAGGCACATGAGCATGAAACGATGTTTTAACTGGGTCATGGGACTGTAGATAGTCCCTGCCACCTCTGTACCTCAAGCCCCTCAAGAAAGATGCTGTTAGTCTCTCGGTGTTATTTCTGCAGTCTAAGTTAGAGCAAGCTCTAATGGATAATGCTATGTGGGTGAAACTGAAAACCTTTATAAGATGAGGCTAGTGAGTACCTGCACGTCTTGGAAGTGTCCAAATGTTTCTCTGCAGATGGCAATATCTCTTTGTCAAATAACACTGAATATGTTGCAAGCTCAAACTAGACAAGTGTGTTGTTTTTTAATAGTTATTTTAAAAAAACCAGACAGAAAAAAATGAATTAAATTTAGCAAACATAAAAAAAATGGAAACATGCCAGAGGAACATTAGGAGAGACAACATGAGATCAAACGTGACTTTATCCTAGAAGCACTGGCCCTGCTGCTTTTTGGTGACTGAGACCCAAAAAGCACACTCCCTGGGCACACTCTGCTTGTCATCAGAGAGTCAGTGCCAGGAGAGTAGAGACAATGCTGCCCAGTCACCAAGGGAGATAAAACAAATATTCCCTCGTACCTATGGGCAGTTAGTAAATATGTGTTGAAGGAATGCCTCCATGGAATTGCTCTCTGCTGAAGATATATAATAATGGATTATTCTCCTTCAACAATCCATGCAATCCTCATGGATTGCTGCATCATCAGGGGACCAGTACTACCTTTGTATCCGGGAGAAGCTATGGCCATAGCCCACTGATTTTCTGGCCCTCCACAACTGAGTACAGAAATCGGACTGACATCTTAGCCTTAGATTTCCCAGAGTTCTTGGTCTATTCAAGAGGAGAGATCCTCAAGCAGACACCAGCTTCCCTGGTGAAAAGAAGCTTGAGCAGGCTTTGCTTAGTGGTTATTTTTCCATCCCATTCTGAAATTTCACTGATGGGGAAGCAGAAGGAGGGGGACTAGTGGGGATGTTCAAATCAGAAACCAAACTCTCTTTTAGAAACCGTAAATTTCTCTTTTAGCTTAGCTACAACAAATCAATGCATATACTCCATCTCCAAAAGAGATTAATAAGATAAATAAAAGTTTATTTGCCAGAATTTCTCTTGGGGAGAGCACTTTTTTTTAGAAAAAAATTCAATAAGTCTTGGGATGGAGAGTGAGACCCAATGGTCATGTCCAGGTAGTAAAAGACAGTCCCTTAACCACAAGGTATAATACAAGAAAGGAAACTTGTATGGGTCACAGAGGGAAAGGGAAGGCATTAACAAGGTGGATGCAAAGGGAAGAGAGGATCGAAAGTAGGAAGCTCCACGGCAGCTTGGCAGTTAGAAGACTTAAGGAAAGAGATGTGCTCCCTTAATGATCAAGTTGGTCATTGTCTGTGCTCTGTTAACTCCCTTTTCTCAGCTTCTGCCCTAAAACTAACCAACAGAGTAATCATCAGTGAAACTGACATTTCTCATTCTTTCTTTAGGGCATTTTAGTGCATTCTTTTGAGGAAATTTGGAGAGGCTTTTCTGTGTTCGAGTCAAGGTTGGGCAAAACAGAGGTGGCAAGTAGGGATACATAGGAGCAGCTAACATCTGCATTACAGAGTGGCAAGAGTGACAATAACCTATCTTAACAACAGTCATATCTTTGTAATTTAGAATGCTGTATTTTATATTCAGAGTAGCTAAATTCAACTTAATTTGCCCTTGCTTGTAATCCTATCTTCTTTATGAGGTATCTTATCTGGTTCCCTCCAGGAGAGGTGAGGTGGTTAATGACTTGTTGGTAGATAATGCCATTTATGGGTGATTTCCTGTTCTCTCTAATGCATTTTATTCTTTATGTATTTTTCTAAGCACGATCCATGGCTTGGCAAGCTGTCAAAACAGTCCCCTATAGCTCCGCATGCAGAGATACTACACACTCTTCCAGCACTGGATGGAAGTAGTTCTGAGCTGCAAAAATAAGAAAATAAGATTACAAGATAGAAAGAATTGTTCATTGCAAGAGAGGATAAACGTAAAAATAGATGGGAATAAAGAGCTGTTTGCCCTGTATGTAAGAAAGCACTAGAGACAATGTTGAAGATAATATCCTTAACATTTATGCAGCTCTTCATATTTTTAAAGTGATTCCTGGTAATTAAGGGTCATTAATCAGATATTAGCTGCAGGTCATTCAGTGAATTAACTGTTGATTTAGGTTGAGAGCTGTGCATAATTCTGGAGATCAGAAACAAACATGACTCATTCTATGCATCTCAAAAACTTACTTTCTTGCGAGTTACTATGTGTGAGTTCTAATTATGAACACCAAGATCTACTTAATATTGCACAAATTCACAATTTATATGGAATACTAATTTAAAATTTATTAGTTTGATATTTACAACCACATTTACGGAGACAAGACTATGAAAAGAAAACCTAAGTTGTTAGAACTGTCACAGAAAAAGCCGTCACAGAACACCCTCCCTCTCTCGACATGGGAACATGCTGGCATTCCGTAGCCAGTAGAAATACACAAGGGAGTCTCCTTCCCTCTCTAGGTTTTAACATCGGTTTTTACTTGGATGTACCAAATGGTTCTAAAGGAATCTGGATTAAATATCCATTTCACTGCAAGAGAATGCCTTGTCTATTTGGGTAGTTCTATGAATCATAACTCAGTTTATCTTTAGTCTAACCAGAAAACAAATTATACATATAAGACTGCAATTTATTTGGCATGTTTATGTCTAAATATCAAGAAATGCTAGTTTCCCTCTAGTATTTCTATGTGCTGTTCTTTGACAAATAGTCACAAGTAATTGAGGTCTGAGAGAAGTCATAGACATTTAGGGTTGAATTTTAAAAATATTAATGGATGCTCCTTTGGCTTTGATGCTTGAATATATTAAGAGCACTACGATTCTTATTGATTTTCCTACAAAGCCTTTGAAACTGACTATTTCTCCCAGTAAAACCTCCACATTTCCCTCTTTCATACAACTAGGCACAATCTCTGCAGCCAGTCAACCTGGGTTTGAAATCTAAATCTGCAACTTACTAGCTGTGTGAATTTGGGCAAGTTACTTAGCTTCTCTGCCTCTCAGTTTATTCATCTGTAAAACGGGCAATATTTATTTATTCAATTATTAAGAGGATTAAGTTAGTATTTGTACAGTGCTTAGAAAAGTATCAGGCATATTTTTAGTACTACATAGGTATCTGCCAAACCTATTAAAATTTCACATTTAAAATACTTTGCTGAGTTGTATGTAGAATGTATTCTATGTGTTTTAATTGTTTGCTAAGTCTTTCTAAAATTCACATTTTAAGATGATATTTTGCAAAAGCGTTCAGATTTCTTTCATTTGGCAAACAAGCAAACAAACAAACATTGCTACTAGTAAACTTTAAGGAACAAAAATGAGTGAAATTTGCACTACAAAAACTTTCTTTGAAAGTACCAGGAGTGTGAGAGCTGGGCAAGAGATTTGGTGTTGGCTATGAATTTGTTGTTGAGAGAGCAAGAAACTGAAGGGCTAGACTCCGTTTAGTGGCTCATGAGCCATCCACAGCTGAGGGTTGTTGAGAGGTGTGTTTGAAGCAGGGAGCTTTGAAGGTCTTGGAAAACCTTACTCTAAGGAGGTTTTTAAGCTCCACTCGCACCCTCTTTCAGTGTGATCTAGATAGAGGAAAGGTCAGCAGCCAGAAAAAGAACAAGAGGGGAGTGATTTGTTCCAGGAATGTTTAAAAATTCTAAAAGTTCTCAAACAGTAATTTTCATTAAGTAAAACATTTCAAGTTATACAACGAACTTTTAAAAGAGCAAGTTTTGTCTACAACAAAAATTAGAAAATAACAGGCTATGAAAATTTCTAGAAGATTGCATTCTATTTAGAACATTCTTCTTTGGAAGTGAAAATACCACGATACTAGCAGAATCATACAAATGAGGTCAGGAAACCAAAATGTGCACCACTGACATTTCAGCCTTGAATCCATTATAAAAACAGTTGCTTATATCTTAATTTCATTGGCTAATACAGTTCTGATTTTTTTTTTTTTTTACCAAGATTGTCTCTGAATCACCTCCTACTTTTTTTTTTTTTTTTTTGAGATGGAGTCTCCCTCTGTTGCCTGGAGTGCGGTGGTGCGATCTTGGCTCACTGCAACCTCTGCCTCCCAGGTTCAAGTGATTCTCTCACCTCCCGAGTAGCTGGGACCACAGGTGCACACCATCATGCCCAGTTAATTGTTTGTATTTTTTGTAGAAACAGGGTTTCTTTTCTTCGTGTTGCCCAGGCTGGTCTTGAACTCCTGGGCTCAAGTGATCTGCCCGCCTCAGCCTCCCAAATTGTTGGGATTACTGGCATGAGCCCCCAATCCCGACCCCTGCTTTCCCACAGTTTGGGAGATTGTTCCCCCTTCACCTCCCAGTGGTAACTGATCTCTGTTCTGTATCAGTGCAGTATTCTGAAGCCAAGAGATCCTCCTCTCCCCGCAAGGCAAAAGGTTTGTTCTCCTTTTACTTCTCCCTCAGCCAAACTTCTCTGAGACGCCTATGGCTTGTTACTCACTGCCAAGCTTATGGTGGGAACAGGAAGGACCTGCCCCTCCTCAGTGACAGGTGACATTTGCTTCAACCCCTTTCAGAGAAAGAGTGGATTTAGCCCGAGAACTGGGGTGAGGATGGGGTGGGGATGTTTCCTTTCCCTCCCACTGCCATATAAAGCTTTTGCTTCTGAGAGAACCATCTGGTGAAGTAGATGAGGCTTCATGGCTAATATGGTTTGGCTGTGTCCCCAGCCAAATCTCATCTTGAATTGTAATTCCTATAATCCCCACCTGTCAGTAGGGACCGGGTGGGAGGTAATTGAATTATGGGAGTGGTTTCCCCCATGCTGTTTTCGTGATAGTGAGTGAGTTCTCACGAGATCTAATGGTTTTATAAGCCTCTGGCATTCACCCTGCTGGCTCTCATTCTCGTTCCTGCTGCCTTGTGAAGAGGTGTCTTCTGCTATGATTGTAAGTTTCCTGAGGTCTTCCCTAGCCATGTGGAACTGTGAGTCAATTAAACCTTTTTTCTTTATAAAGTACCCAGTCTTGGGTAATTCCTTATAGCAATGTGAGAATGGACTAATATAATGGCTGTCGAGAAGAAGGAGGGGTTCTTGTTAACAAACACTGCAGGCCCTCTGTTTTTGCTGTTAGTGCTCAGTGGAGGCCTGCAGAAAAGACCTTGTGAATAAGAACAGTTTCCCCTGTGTCAGGGGCTCTCAGGGATTCCTAACTGGTCCTCTGCTAGCCCACATTTAGCCTCTCAGAACTCATTACAATTGCAGCTTTTTTTTTGTCTTACTTGCTTTTATTGTAGTTTTTCTTCCTCCCAGGATCTGCCAAAAGTGAAACAGTCATGCATCTTGTTTATCCCTGGAGGAGGTTGTCACCCTTTATATTTCACCTGAGGCCTCTGATGGGCTCAAGGGAAGTTATAATTTTGAAGATTTGACTTTTTTCAAGTTGTTAGGGTGAGAGCAATGTTCTCTGTTCTCTTGCAGCTGAATGAATTTTAAGCAGAAGCCAGGATTAAATCTTAAGTCCTCATTGTGCTGTAATCTTTCATGTTTCTATGATCCAGGCAGAAAATGGGAAAAAGGCAAGAGTTCCAGAAATTTACGGGAATAAGCAGTATCTTACCCAAACAAAGGGATATGCTCATTTATTTTATTAATGATGCATTAATAACTATGTCCTATGCTTTGCCACATGTTCAAAAATTTCTCCTTAGCTAGCCTTTTCATGTGGAATTAATCACAAACCTGAAGCCAAAGCCGCTTCAGTTTGGTCCCAAAACACTTTACTCAACATCTCCCATATGCTCTGCTCCACCTTGGGCTTCAGCCACATGAGTTGGCAGGCCTGGGAGGGGAGTCAGATTTCCTGCGATGGAATCCAGACTGTGCCACTTATTAGCTCTGTGACCTGGGGCTACTTAACCTCTCTGCCGCTCAGCCTCCTCATTTGTAAAGTGAAGAAAGTAATAATACTTACATCATAGGTTTGTTATAAGCTCCCCGGCCTCATTATTTCAATTCCTCTGAGAACCTCATCTGCAAAAGCAGAATATATAAGATACTAATATTCAGCACAGGTTCAAATTGGTAGTCACCTTTCCCTTTCCTAAGATTAGCTTATCTGAGCCCCTAAGAAAGTTGTACCATTTTAGATAATAGGTGGTACATTTAATCTCCTAAGGGCAGAAGGTGAAGATACCCAGTTTGAAGAGCTCTAAAATGTACCCCATCACTCCCAAATCTTCTCTCTCAATGTTGTTATTAGCTTGTAATCTTGTTATTCCCACCAAGCAATTCTGCTAAGATTAAAGAATCATTGATTTGAGATTCTGGGTATCTACGGGGTTTTGAAAAATATCTATAAATTCTCTGCTAGTATATGCTCTGAAAGCTATTCATCCAAAAAACAATTGAGTACCTACTATGTGTCAGAAATTGTCCTAACCAGTTGGTAGCATGGGAGCCTAAGACTTTTTGCCTTATGAGCTACTCAAAAAGAAGAATGAATTCAATAGACTATATAATTCACTGGTAAATAGAGAAAGGTATTAGCAGCGAAGCATATTATTGCATCACTGTTTGATACTTCTAGTCTCAATAGGAATCATCACATTGATGGTTTTGATGCTTTTCGTGTTTGCATTGAAGAAAAAAGCCTGCTGAGATGATTTACAAACTCAAATTACATGTTTCTGCTTTATGTCATATAACTGACATTTAATTTTTTTTAAATGCCTACAGATAGTTCAGTCATACTTTTAAAGAGGTACGAATCCAAATTACAGCTACACTTTTATTATCAGAAGTCTTTTTGTTTGTTTTTTGAGATGGAGTCTCACTCTGTTGCCCAGGCTGGAGTGCAGTGGAGTGATCTCAGCTCACTGCAACATTCACCTCCCGGGTTCCAGCAATTCACCCTGCCTCAGCCTCCCAAGTAGCTGGGACTACAGGCGCATGCAGCCATGCCTGGCTAATTTTTAAAAATATTTTTCAGTAGAGATGGGGTTTCACCATGTTGGCCAGGCTGGTCTTGAACTCCTGACCGCAGGCAATCTACTCACCTCAGCCTCCCAAAGTCTGGGATTACAGGCGTGAGCCACCGTGCCTGGACTAGAACTCTTGGTTACTAAAGTGTTCTGGTTAATTGGGTATTCTTGTTATTATGAAAGATTAAGCTGAAAATGCATGTTTCAATCATTTGGCTGAAAATCAGTCTTATTTTTCTTTCCTATTATAGGGAAAGTAGTTGAAATAGGTTTTTTGTGGTAGTTTTATATTTTTTAATAATGTGGCTTAATAGCTCATAGTGAGACTTCAAATTTCAGTTACCATTTTAGAGCACTGAAAATTGAGACAACATGTGGATTAAACTTAGAGTGACTTCAAGTTAAACCTGAGAAGAAAAGAGGCAATGCCATTTAGTGGATTATACATATGATTTGGAGCCAGAGAGACCTCATTTCTGCTCATTATTTACTATGTGTCTATTTCTGGGAAATTTACTTAGTGTTCCTCAGTAGCCTCAGTTTCTTCATCCTAAAATATAAATAAGAATATATGCCTTGTGTATTCTTTCTTTCTTTCTTTCTTTCTTTCTTTCTTTCTTTTTTTTTTTTTTTTTTTTTTTTTTTGAAAGAGTCTTGCTCTGTTGCCCAGGCTGGAGTGCAGTGGTGCGATCTCATCTCACTGCAACCTCTTACAGCAGGCCAGGTCCCACTAACGCAGGCCTCCATAACAACTCTTTCAGCATTGACTGAGTGGTTAAATGAAATATTAAAAGCTGATAGAGCCAGTGCCTTTATACGAAGGCTGGAATGTAATAAAAGCCCACCAAGAGTTTTGCCTAGGCCTTTCCTGAGCCTTAAAGCATGACAAAATAACGAAGGAATTCTTAACAGAACCTGTTTAGGATTAAACAAGTTTTATTGGGGGTCTGAAGAAACTCCCCAGACCTCCACAAACAAGTTTATCGGGGGTCTGAAGGAACTCCCCAAACCTCTGACTTAGCAGGAGACGAGATAAGTGTAATCACCTCAGCACCTAAATCCACTTAGATGAAGTAAATTTTACTAAGGCTCCAGAGGAAGGTCTTCAAGACTCAGATCTTAGTTGTAGATTAAAGGAAATTAATCACTTATGTCTTCAGACAAATGCACACTTACACATAGACATATAGCTCAGAAGGTATATAAGCGCTGAAAAACTTTGTAATTTTGAGTTGGTCTGGTGATAATTTCCAGGCCTTCTCCCTGTAACCAGTTACAGAAATAAGCTCCCTTTTCTCTCAGGTCATCTGCTTCTCATTACTGGGACACAAGAATAAGCAGCCTGACCCTGGGTTTGGTCTGGGAACACTCTGCCTCCCAGGTTCAAGCAATTCCAGTGCATCAGCCTACCAAGTAGCTGGGCTTACAGGCATGTGCAACCATGCCCGACTAAGTTTTGTATTTTTAGTAGAGGCAGGATTTCACCATGTTGGGCAGGCTGGTCTTGAACTCCTGGCCTCAAGTGAGGTGGCCACCTCAGCCTCCCAAAATGCTGGGATTACAGGCATGAGTTGCCACACCCAGCTCGTGTATTGTTTAATCATGGTATGACCAAATGAGATCTGGCGTATGATGGGCCTGGACACAATATGTACTCAGTGAATGATCACGGGCTGATTGTTACTGTTCTTTGTTCCATTATCTGCTGTTTTATCTTGTGATTAATTACTCTTATAAAAGTCATGAGTGACCTTAGGTTTAAGAAGATAGACTGATCACAGATGTTTATCTCCTTTTTTCTCTCTGTCCTCACTAATGTGATAATAAAAGAAGGGAAAAAATAAAATTGGCAAGAATAAAGACACGAATAGAATAGGAGAAGGGACATTTTGGGAATGAACACTTGAAAATCAGGAAGCAAAACTGTCCTCTCTCACTCCTCTACTGCTGTGTAGGCAATTAGAGCTACAGCACTGGGTTTCTACTCTCCAGTTATGAGAGCATAAGTTTCTTCCCTAGAAAATTTGTACTGTGGAGGTATAGGACTTAGAGATTTATCAGACAAAAACATTTAATGTGGCACTGAAAATAGGGAAAATTAACAATCTGTACCTACTGGCTTCTCCCTTGCCTAGAAGCCCCAAATTCAGAACACCAGCAGTGAGGCCACCACGTATACTGACCTGGATGTGCACTGTTCAATGCTAAAAGCCACTGTTGACATTATAGTGTTGTATCCTCATGACAATTTTTGGCAAGTGACAGAAAAAGGCCTTATTTTGCCAAATGAGTTCATTATGACAATTTTCTAACAGTTGGATATAAAGTGTCTTCAGGAAGGTAGGCCTTTTGCTAAATCACAAACATGTACTTGTTGGGCTGGTAACAATTATCAGCCATCAATTTTCTGTGATATCCCCCTACTGTTAACACCACGTTACACTCATAGAAGACTGAAGAGTTCTTCTCCACAACTGCATGGCTCTAGAGTGTAAAGAAAACAAAATCTTGGCAAAATGTCATTAGGAGGGACCAGTTATTAAAATACCCCCACCTAATCATCCTAAAATGAAGTCCTGCTCAAATGCTCAAGGCTTTCAATCGCTTTCATGTTTATGTTTTTGCATTCTCACCATGTTGCCCAGGATGGTGTTTTGGTATTGAACTCCCAGCCTCAAAAAAAACTTCTGCCTTGGTCTTGCAAAGTGCTGAGATTACAGGTGTGAGCCACCATGCCAGGCCCCGATTACTATCATGTGAACAGACAACCTATAATCATGCTGTATTTGGGGAATCCTTCAGATACAGAGGAGAGATCTAAGTAAGCAGAGAAAACAAATAGATCAATAAGAGAAAATGTAAGAACAGAATAAAACAGGAATAATAGCCCCCCAAAACCTCCAAATAGAGATGTGAGACTATTATAAACAGAATGGCTGAAAGAAAGGGATATTAGAAATTAATATGAAAATTTCAGAAGGGTTAGAATGTAGGTTAACCCAATCTTCTAAACAGTGGAGCACAAAAGAGAGAAAGATTGAAATATCGATGAGAATGAATCCAAGAGTTTGAACATGCTAGGCAAAGAGCTTCAGAAAGGGAGAGTAGAGAAAATAAAGGGGACTGTGATGTACATTTCAGAGTAATAACAAAAGAAAAATGTTGAACCCTGAGTGGGCTCAAAAGGGCCTAAACAAGTATTTATACTAATTTAAAATACAAGCTTGACAAAGAGCTTGGAATTCTAAAGCATCAGTGACAGAAAATACTAAAATTTGCGTGGAGTTAAAATGGGTTGCTTATAAAGGACTGAAAATTTGTTTGCACCAGACACTGCAGCAGCTACAACATGCTACAATACAGGAAACAAAGCATTCACAACTACACAGGAGATAACATTCCACTCAGAATTCTCCCACCAGCCAAACAATAAGGCGTGAGAGATATTTACAGGGGACAAATACTCAAATTTAAGTTTTATCTATTCTTAAGAAATGATTTGGGGGTGTTCTCCTGAAAGAATAAGAAAGACAAAGGGAGATAAATAATTTAGAAAATATCAGATCAAACCCAAGAGGATGGTAAAAGAAAGTTCCAGGATAGCAACTGTGCATCAACTCTAGTGAGCCAAAGTCTTGATTGTAATGATAGAGAATATCAGTAGATGGGTTTCCAAGGAAAAGGGATAGTCAATAGAATAGCAGCAGATGTGTTGCTGCGGTTGGGCAGAATTAAAAACATGTTAAAAAGAGAAGGGGAAGAGAGAAGAAGAAAGGCTAGAAAAAAAGGCAGTTAGAAACTCCAGAAAAACAAAAAACAGAAGTTTCTACAAGATACACAAAATATTCACACTATACTGCTTGACAGTGAAAAATATGTAGTTATAATGGTCATATTCATTTAAAATAATTACATAGCAATTCGGTAGGGTGGGAAAGGAAGGTAAGAGGTAGGTATAAGAGAACTAATCCCCATCAATCATAACCAGAGTCAATAACTGATATCAAAAACTGGTAAATATAAAAAGTAATATAAGAACAATATTTAGAATTGTAGAGGTAACTTACAGAAAAAGTACTTTTAGCCAGCATTCTTGGGGACTGGGAAAGGATGAGACAGAAAAGATAATTTTTTATTATAAATTCAGTGTTATGTAATCTTTTTTCACTATGTGTATAAATAAGGGTGATAAAATTAAAAAAAGAGGTTTGCATGACTTCCATAGAGGAGGGTTTCATCATTGTTTGAAAGTACATGATTTAATTGAGGGCATATAAATATTTATGGGTGCATATGTATATATGTGTATATATGTGTTTTATGATCTTTGACAAAAATATGGAAAGATATATATTATTTTCTATATAGTTTCATTAATTGGGAAGGGAAGTGAAATACTTGGAGAGAAAAGGAGGAAACATTTGTCTAACAAATATTATACTATGCTTTCAAATTGCAGAAATTTTTAAAAAGTTGAAAAACCACTGTAATCATTTAGAAAAATCTAGAAAGATTTAGAAAATTGAAGGAAATGCTAATATTATCGTGTGCTTTGCCAAAATATATTTAGTTTTCTCTAGTTGGCATTATGCACAAAACTTTCAGAAGTTAGCAGACTTCCATTATAAACAAAGGACGGGATTAACTGTACTGTTCTATTTCTAGTTTCATTCAAATCTATCACAGTTCCTTTACACAACCAAATTCTTGTTATTTTTCAAAGCCTTGGGAAAAAAATGTAAAGTCAGTGTATTCACGCTATTTGAATGAGTTCTTAAAAAGAATTTTAGTTTTCTTGTTGGGAAATGTTACGAGTGAGATATGTGCTCCTGACTTTATTCATATTTTTCTCATTTTTTCGGAAGGCAGAATTTGAAAATGAGCTCCAAAACATTTCAGTGCGAATTTCTCTACATTTGTTTCTTTCTAGAAATAGGTGAGATTCACTTGCAAACAATCCCCTCTTCTATGAATTATCTGGTACCTATTTTTTTTAGACACTTACTGTGAAGTATATTGTTAGGTCCAATTTTATATGAGGAAGTGTGGTTAAAAAAGAGTAATTTGCCTAAGAGTAAAACGTGAATAATGGCAAACTAAGAGTCCAACCCAAAATTTATTCTACCCCATACTTCAATGGAGGGCTACATGCAAAGATAAGATTAGTAATCCCTGACTTAATTTTTTTTCCCAAGAGAGTGTGCCCTCCCTCAAACTTCATTCCAGAGTGTATGTTCCCACATACGATACACACGTGCGTTTTTTCAATGTACCACAGAGAGACCAGCCACTGGAGGTATTCTGGATAGTAGTTAGCTAGCCTTGCCTTGATGACTTCAGATTATTTGCGTATATCTACCTGAGCGTTTTGTGTGAGAAAGATGGATTATAAAAGATTCCTAACATTGCTTTGTTTACTGAAAAGTTAATATGCCAACAAAAAGAAAATATACTTCAAGGTTATGTTGAAGCATAAGCAAAAATAATAAAGTTAGCTTCTTAGGGCTGGAATTGCAGCCAGGTATAGGGTGAGAGTGTAAACTTTTCTGAGTCAAGGAAGGTTCATTGTTAATTAGCCTTACTGTGGTGACTAATATCACAAGGTGTATATATTGCAAATTATCAAGTTGTACACCCTAAATATATAATTAGTTGTTGAATCTACCTTAATAAAGCTGGAAAAAATCATTGTGCTTATTTGTAGATATCTTATTCAGCCTAGCTCTGTGCTGGATACACAGTAGTTCTATTGGATGACATAGCATGTACTCAACAAACATGTGTTGCTTCATTGATAGAGAGCTGGCTTACTTGGTCACAATGAAGAAAACCACAAAAGTTTGGAAATGAAGATTGTAGTCTAAGAAGGTAGCTGTCACATATGGAGAATTCACCATGTGCCTGTCATTGTGTTAAGGGTTTTATGTGGAATGACTGACTTACATTTCAGGACAACCAGTTGAGTAGACATCATCATCTCTCTTTTTAGTAGGAAGTGCTAGTGATGGAATCAGTTATGGAGATTATGCTCTGGTGAGGCCTAGAAGAGAGTGAATTGAAGGAGGGGTAAAGGATCATCACCCTACTTTTTACTATGTCAGTCCAGCTCTCTATCCTAAAGATGAGAGTACCAATGGTCCCCATATCTGTATCACCAGGTGTGCAGAAGATTCAGCTTATGAAGTATTTAGATTCTCATTTATAGAAATGTTATATAAATTCAAGGAATTAATAAATGTCTTCAGCATGCTGAGCCATAATTCATTCCTATACCATGTTCCCCATTTTTAATGCTTAAAAAATGGAGATCACTTCCTCTATCATTCATTACAACTGTTGTTAGAGTGACCAATCTCTTGACTCATTTCATTTAATTTCATCTCTTTTGTTACTCTTAATCCTTTATGGATATCTCACTCTGATGCTTTCTGGGCTGAAATGAACTTCTCACTCTTTCCCTGTAGATTTTTCTTGGCCAATTGTACTTACGTTACTTTTTTTTTTTTTTTTTTGAGATGGAGTCTAACTCTGTTGCTCAGGCTGGCATGCATTGGCACAGCTCACTGCAATCTCCACCTCCCGGGTTCAAGCGATTCTCCTGCCTCAGCCTCCCAAGTAGCTGGGATTACAGGAGCATGCCACCACACCTGGCTAATTTTTGTATTTTTTAGTAGAGACAGGGTTTTACCACATTAGCCAGGCTGGTCTTGAACTCCTGACCTCGTGATCCACCCACCTCAGCCTCCCAAAGTGGTGGGCTTACAGGTGTGAGCCACCACACCCAGCCACTTATTTTACTCTTGTTAGATTTCTTTATTAGTCAATCCTTCCACTTTCTAAGTTGTTTTGGGCATTATTCTGAATGATTTCCAATGTTAGGAACTTTCCAATGTTGTGGTTAGAAACGTTCTAGAAACAAATGCAGTATTTTCTAGTGTTGTACAGAATTGGGCTTGGGGAAATGCCCAAAGTGTGCATCTTATTTCTATCTAATTTTGTTCCTCAGGAACTGTTGTAGGTTGAATTATATTCCCCCAAAAGATAGGTTGCAGTCCTAACCCATGATACCGATGGTGTGATCATATTTGGCAATACAGCCTTTGCAGATATAATCACATTAAGATGAAGTCATGCTGGAGTAGGTTGGGCCCTTAATCTAATATGACTGCTGCTCTTATATGAAGAGGAGAATAAGAGACACAGAGGCAGGCAAATAGGGAGAGGTTATGTGACAATGGAGACAGAATTTAAAGTCTATAGGCTAAGGAACACCAAGGACTGCCAGCAACTGTAGCAACTAAGAGGAAGGCATGAGACAGATCTCCCCATAGAGCCTTCAGAAAGAGAAAGGCCCTATCAACATCTTAGACTCCTAGTCCCTAGAACTGTGAGAGAATACATTTTTGTTATTTTAAGCCGCAGAGTTTGCAGTGATTTGTTATGGCAGCTCTTGGAAACCAATACAAGGACTGAGATGTTTTCTGATTTATCATCACCCTCACCTTAAATGTAATAGCATCAATGTACTGTGTACCCGGTATGTTCCTGGCACCATGCTAAGCATAAGCATAATGTCATATCTAATTTAATCCTCACCAGCCATTCCAACCTTCTAGCATAATTTTCTCTGATGTACATATCAGGATACTAAATATTGGTGAGGTTGAATCTGCCCTAGTAAAAAGTAGACCTTGATATGAATCCAAATGGATAAAAAAATTCTAAAACCAGTGCTACAAACCACTACACTATATTCCCTGTTACTAAAGGAGTATGATTGTCTTCCTTGCTTTTCCTTCCTGGCTGATGTAACATTTTGAAGATTATAGTTTCTGTCTAGTATTCTGACTTCTTTTTTAATAGGATGAAAGTTATCATTATTCTTTCCCCATACTCGATTCCATTTCTAACATGGGTAACATCCTCTGTTTTTACTATCCCTTCTCACTTCCCTTTTCTAGATAGATTTTGTTCACTAGTAAAGCTACAAAATCAGATTCGGAGAAATCTTGTTACTATATGTTTGTGTCTTTGAGAAAGAGTACAGGTTAGAACAACTTACCTGAAGCTTTTCGGGGAGAGGTGAGTCTAGCAAGACATAAATATGCTGTGTCTGCTTTTCCTTCAAGTCATAATTTGGTTCAAAAATTATTCTTGGCTGAAACAAGAAGCAATAATCAAATTTCTTGGCTCCAGGCCGTAAGACAAAGTTTTGAAAAGCTTCTAAGGTGACCTAAACCTTTTGGCATGATTGAATCTGGAAAAGGAGAAGCCCTAGAACTACTTTCCCTTTCATTTTGGCTATTTGATTGATAGTTGAAACACGAATTCTTATGTCATAGGTAAATACAAAATACCTCATAGTTTATTTTATAATCTATAAATCACTTTTATACATATTGTCTCATTGGATTCTCACACACTTTGGATATCTAGGCCGGGCAGATATTATTTTTCTCATTTCAGAGATGAGAAAATACTTGTGTAAGAGAAGGTATGTTTTCCTTAAGATCACATAGACAGTAAACATAAGTGGGATTAGAACTGGAATACTGTGGTTTCTAACTTGTCCAGTTAAATTTTATAAATCGTTGCAACTTAGTAATACAAATTATCCAATTCAACATAGTATTAGAAGTCCCATTTTTGCCCAGCCTTGACCCAAACACAGAAGAGTCTCTCTTCAAATTTCCTCAAAAGAATGTACTTAATGCCCTAAAGAAAGAGTGAGGAACATCAATTTCACTGATTATTCCATTGGGGAGTTTTAGGGCAGAAGCTGAGAATAGGGAGTAAAAAGAAAAAGACACAAAGGACATTGAAATAGAGAGGAAGTCAAACTATCTCTATTTGCAGATGACATGATTCTATAGGTAGAAAACTGCATAGTCTTGGCCCAAAAGCTTTTTCAGCTGATAAACAACTTCAGCAAAGTTTCAGGATACAAAATGCACAAAAATCTCTTGGGTTATTATACACCAACAACAGCCAAGAGCCAAATCAGGAATGCAATCGCATTCATGATTGCCACAAAAAGGATAAAATACCTAGGAATACAGCTAACTAGGGAGGTGAAAGATCTCTAAAATAAGGATTACAAAACACTGCTGAAATAAATCAGAGGACACAAATGAAAAACATCCCATGCTCATGGATAGGAAGAATCAGTATCATTAAAATGACCATATTGCCCAAAGCAATGTACTGATTAAATGCTATTTCTGTCAAATCACCAATGATATTCTTCACAGAACTAGTAAAAACTGTTTTAGAATTCAAAAAAGAGCACAAATAGCCAAGGCAATCCTAAGCAAAAAAAACAAAGCTGGAGGCATCATGTTACCTGACTTCAAACTATACCACAGGGCTACAGTAACTAAAACAGCACTGTACTGATACAAAAAAACAGGCACATAGACCGATGAAACAGAATAGATATCCCCAAAATAAGGCCTATGTGCCCACAACTACCTAAACTTCCACAAAGCTGACCAAAAACAAGTGATGAGAAAATGACTTCTATTCAATAAATTGTGCTGGGATAACTGGTTAGCCATATGCAGAAGATTGAAACTTGATTCCTTCCCTAAACCATGTACAAAAATTAACTCAAAATGGATTAAAGACTTAAATGTAAAACCCAAAACTATAAAAGCCCTGGAACACAACCTAGGCAATACTATTCAGTATATAAGAATGGGCAAATTTCATAAGGAAGATGCCAAAAGCAATCACAACAAAAGCAAACATTGACAAATTGGATCTAATTAAACTCAAGAGTTTCTGTACAGCAAAAGAAATCAACTGAGTAAACAGGCAACCTACACAATGGGAGAAAACATTTTCAAACTATGCATCTGACAAAGGTCCAGTAATCAGCATCTAAAATAACTTGCAGGAGAAAACCAACAACTCCACTAAAAAGTGTGCAAAGGACATGAACACTTTTCAAAAGACATACATGTGGCCAAACAAATATTTGAAAAAAACCTCAGTACCACTGATCATTAGAGTAATGCAAATCAAAACCACAATGAGGTACTATCTAATACCAGTCAGAGTGGCTATTTTCAAAAAGTCAAAAAATAACAGATGCTGACAAGGTTGCAGAGAAAAGGGAATGCTTAGACACTGTTGGTGGAAATGTAAATTAGTACAATCATTGTGGAAAGCAGTGTGGCAATTCTTCAAATAGGTAAAAACAAACTTTCATTTGATCCAGCAGTCCCATGACTGGGTATATACTCAAGAAATATAAATCATTCTAACATAAAGACACATGCATGTGAATGTTCATTGCAGCACTATTCATGATAGGAAACACACGAAATCGGCCTAAATTTTCCATTAATGACACACTGGATAGAGGAAAATGTGGTACATATATACCATGGAATATTATGCAGCCATAAAAAAGGAGATCATGTCTTTTGCAGTAACATGGATGGGGCTGGAGGACATTATCCTTAGCAAAGTAACTCAAACAGAAAACCAAGTACTGCATGTTCTCACTTGTAAGTTGGAGCTAACACATGGACCCATGGATGAGAACACATGGACACAGAGGACAATACATACTGGGGCCTATTGGAGGAGGGAGAGGTTCAGAAGAAATAAATGTTGTGTACTAGGCTTAGTAACTGGGCAATAAAATCTGTACAACAAACACCTGTGATACAAGTTTATATAACAAACCTGCATATGTACCCCTGAATCTCATAATCCTCATAACCACACTATAGATTTCTAAAATTATTGTTTCACAAACCCCTGGAAAGAGACAGACTTAAAGTTTAAGAGGGTTGAGTAGGTAGCCTGAGGTTCCATGGATGATAATGGTGGCGAACATTTGAATTTACTACAGAACACACACTCTTAGCTATTTTAGTGCATATGTTCCCCAAAATAAGCATTTCTTATGGGAAGGTAAAACCTTGAAATGGTTTACTCGGTGATGATTCACCAGGAAGGTTAATCTTAGCATGGAATCAAACCCAGACTTTCAATGAGACAGGTGAGTGGAAAACTGGTATTATTTGAATTAAAAGGGTTATATTTATTTTACATTGAAACTTTAGTTGGGTTCATATTATTTTGGTTCCGAAGTCACATCCTTTAAATAATCTCTATTTTGATTGAGCACTTAAAGAATTTACTTAAATTTTTATTAAAACCTGTTTGCATAAGCTTTCTTCCCTTCTCAGCATTTGCTCAGATACCCTGATGGGCCTGGAAGAGTTGAAATCTTTAAGTGATGACAGCTCTGTCCTGTTAGGTGACAGCTCTCAGGATCTGACAGACAATCCAATTGGTGTAACAGTGATCAGACTCTTAAGAAGCTAAAATCACCTTCAAATCACAATGAAATATAATGGGGAAGTTTGGAATAAAAAGTAGCCTGCCAATTATTTTTTCTTTCAAATTATTATCTGTACTGACTACATTTTTTTTCCCCACAGTTAAATCTTAGAGATAAACATTTTCATTTTCAGAAAGCAAGGCTGATTTAGAAACTTTATCTGAATGTTTCATAGTGAGCAAGTTTATTTGGACTCATTTAAAAATTGAATATAAACATCTTATTTAAAAGAGATGCTTGACATAGAAAATCTTTGCACACTCACCAACAATTTGTTGACTTTTTGGTATAACTCTTAGTACATATTGGAATATTTCATTAAAATCATTTGTCAAGTGGCTTTAAAGTGAATTTAATCCTTAGAAATACTTAGGGGATTTGTTTGGAATGAGGAAAGACAACCAATGCACTGAGAAATGTTTTCTCCAAATTTGAATGTGTTTGAATTGTGTTTACTATCATACGTACTATCGATTGAATTTTCAGGGTAACTTTGAATTTTCCAGAGATAACTTAAATAATTTATTCATTTGTAGAATCATTTAGACATTAAATGACTTTCCAGGTTTATTGATCAAAATCTTTTCTTCTCAATCTCAACATATTAAAACAGCTTTTATTAAATTCAACATTGAATGATTACATTAATTTGTACTATATGTAAATATGTAGTTAAAAAGCTTAATGTTGAGACAGATCTATAAAATTTTTTTCTTGAAAATTTTATAGTAAAATCTTCAGCTTTTAGGCTATTTGGTGATTTCTATTGGTTGTCCTAGCAACCTGCTCTCCATATTTGCTGCATTGATTGGACATGTCTAACTCATTGTTCCTGAGAGTAGACTTTGATATAATTGGATGCAGTGTTATAACATCTCTCTATACTGAAGAATTTATTGGTCATCACTGCATAATGATGGGTTTTCTGTGTCCATGTTTTGATTGGGTCTAGTTATAGATGAAGGGTCAATTTAAATGAAGAGGGACAACTCCTTATTGTTATCAGTGATAATCTGCAGTTGAAAAAAAAAACCCAAAATTTAAAGTGTGATTAGTTTAGAAAAACAAAACTGGAGTCATGTTCTGATTTTCTTTCCTAGGGCTTCTCTTTTGATATATAACTTTTCTTTCTGTTATATACATTTTTGTCAGGCTTTTCTTAGTAAAGCAGATCCAAGGTTACATTTAGTCTCCATATCTAACATGAGAATCTCTGGTTTTCCAGGTTTATTCTTAGGATTCAATTAATATGGATGCCTTAGTATTCACTGGTAAGGTTTAAAAGAAAAATAATTTGGAACTATTGCCAAGGCCCAAGATGACCTGGGTTAGGGCACTAATATGGGGTATATTGCAATACTTGGGATGCTTTTTTGGAGGCTGTGAAAACTCATCCAATTTAGTACCATTCAAGCAGTACCGACTAGTGATTTTAGGGTGCAGGCTTTGTCATAGTGTTAATCTAAGTTTGTGTATTAATGGCTTGTCCATGGGCAAGATGATTGCTTAGCCTTTTAAGCCTCAGTATCTTTATAAAGTGGGAATAATTGTAATAATTAAAATAGTATTTGTCTCATAAAGATGTTATGAGAATTAAATGATCAAGCAACATGTTTAGATATAGTAGGTGCTTAATAGTATTCTTGTTATTCTTATGTCAGCTAAACGGGCAGCAGGGGTTGTAGGAAGAGTTAAAGTTATCAGAAAATATTTAATTCATAAAGCAATCTGCAAATTCAAGGCAATCCCTGTTAAAATTCCAATGTCATTCTTCACAGAAATAGAAAAAACAAATCTGAAATTTGTATGCAATCACAAAAGATCCTGAGTAGCCAAAGCAATCTTGACCAAAAAGAACAAAGCAGGAGACTTTGTTCATACAACTGGATTTTAAAATATATTACAAAGGTACAGTAATCAAAATGCATGGTACTGGCATAAAAACAGACTGATCAACCAATGGAATAGGACAGAAAGCCCAGAAATAAACCCACACATCTATGGTCAATTGGTTTTTGACAAAGTTGTCAAGAACACACGAGGGGAATGAACAGTTTCTTTAATAAATGGTTCTGGGAAAACTGGATATCCAAATGCAGAAGAAAGAAAATGGACTCTTATCTCACCCATTATAGAAGAATATACTAAAAATAGGTTAAAGACTAAAAAGTAAGACCTGAACCTATAAAACTACTCATAGGAAACATAGAGGAAAAGCTCCATGACATTGGTATATGCAGTGATTTCTTGGATATAAATCTCAAAGCCCAGGCCATGAAAGCAAAAATAGGCAAATGGGATTGCATCAAACTAAAAAACAACTGCACAGCAAAAGAAACAAGTAATAGGGAGGAGACAGCTCACAGATTGAGAGAAAATATTTGCAAATCATACATCGGATAAGGGACTAATGTCCAAAACGTACAAGGAACTCAAAGTATTCAACAACAAGAAAACAAATAACCCTATTTAAAAAATTAAAATCACATGAGATATCACCTGACACTTGTTACACTGGCTATTATGAAAAAGATGAAAGATAAGTCTTAGGATGTGGAGAGAAGGGGACCCTTAAATACTATTTGTGGTATTATAAATTAGTATGGCCATTTTGAAAAACATTATGTAGATAATCAAACTAAAAATTATCAGATGATCCAGCAATTCCACTTCTCAATATACACCCAAAGGAATTGAAGTCAATATTTAAAAGGTATATCTGCACTTCCATGTTCATTGCAGCATTATTTGCAGTAGTCAAGATATTGAAAAAAATCTAAGTGTCTGTCAACTGATGACAAACTTTAAAAATGTAGTATATATACACAATGAAATACCATTCAGCCTTAAAATACTGAGGAAATTGTGTTTTGTGACAACATGAATGAATCTACAGGACATTGTGTTAAATGAAATAAGCCAGGTATAGAGAGTTAAATACCATACAATCTCAATTACATGTGGAATCTGAAAAAGTTGGATTCATAGAAGTAGAGTGGAATGGTGGCTGTCAAAGTCTGAAGATGGGGGAGAATGAAGGGGGAGACATTGGTCAATAGGTACAACATTTCAGTTAGACAGGATGAATAAGTTCTGGTCTATTTCACACCATGACGACTGTAGTTAAAAATAATGCATTGTATATTTCAAAATAGCTAAAAAGATTTTAAATGTCACCACAAAGAAATGATTAAAATTTGAGATAAATATGGTAATTAGCTCAATTTGATCATTCTACAATGTATACATGTATCAAAACATTTTATCCCATAAATATATATGATTATTATTTGTTAATCAAAAATAAATTAAAAATATTCATCTTTTGCTGAGGACCCACTGCTCCAGGGACTGGGTTAGGCAGTTGAACAGACATGCATGGGACAAGAACAGGGAAGTTTTCTTCTTTATATAATTCTGTACTTTCTACATTTTATGCCATAAATTGTTTTTTCGATTTTACAGTTTTCTTAATGTGAAAATATGTTGTCCTTTGTTATATTACTTATATATAACAATATATTGTTATATTACCTGTTAATACAACTTCAGGGAATTGAGTCCCTTAGAAAGATTTGACAGGATAATAGTTCCCATTAGTACTGCAATAGGGTGTGTGAGCTACCTTCAGGAGGTTGGGGACATAGTTTAGGAGTCAGACAAACATGAGCTTGAGCCCAAGCTGTTAGGTTGGTGCAAAAGCAATCGTGGTTTTTACCATTAAAAGTAAAGCAAAAACCACAATCACTTAATACATGAGTAGCAAACTGTGGCATATTAGAAATTTTACTTCATCTCTCTGGATCTGTTTTCCGATCTGTAATATAAGAGTGATGGTATATTCTTTGCATGGTTGTTGAGAGGTTAGATTAAGGGAGCATTTCTGTATAGTGCATTTAATGAAAAGTCTGACCCATAAAATTGATCATGTATTGGTGGCTATTAGCATTAACTGAAAGATTGTTGAGGTCAAATTCCTCTTTTACTGGTGAGGAAACTGATGCACATGAAAGTTACATAACTTTTCTGAGATCTTCCAGGTAGTATTTCCACTAAACAGGTGTTTCCAAAATGTCAGGTATTGAGTATGATCTTGCATTTTTTTCTGTATTTATATAATACCCTGGTATTATTTACTTAAGATTGTTCTTTATATTTAATTGCTTTTTCATTTAAATCAATTTGTTTAGAAACTATATATTGTTTTAAATATAAATTTAATATCATGTATTATAAACAAAGGGTAATTATAAAATTATGTAACAAAAACAATGTTGTTATATTTTAGCTAGATACTAAAATAGTTAGAAGCAATTTATATACCAAAGAGATAATAGCTTGGGAGAGGAGAAGTTTTAAGAGACCATAGCACTTCATGACATCAAGGAATTGGTACACTGGTAGTAAGAAATAGGAAAGCAGTTAGATGTTAAGTTATGGTAAGGGACTGGCCATTTGCACTTTTGGATATCAGAAATGGATTGGAATGGGTGATAATGTATAAAGATTGGTCATGGGGGTGAGTGCTGAACCAGAGTAAGATGCCATTTCTATTTCAGAAAGATGTGAAACCATCACATACTACTCATCAGATTTCCTAAAAGGATTTGGCTTGTTACCCAAAATGATAACTATGTGAGGCAATATATATGTTAATTAGCTAGCTTTAGTCATTCCATAATGTATATATATATACTTCAAAGCATCATGTTGTACATAATAAATACATGCAATTTTATGTCAATTTAAATAATAAAAGTGCCTAGTTTCTTTATTCTAAGTAATTCCTTAGCCATCCATCCCACCTTTCTGTTGTTCTCATTTAGTAAGATGGTTTTATATCAGCTGTTGCTGTTACTCTTATGCTAATGCATTGAACATGAGTTTTGCAGCAGGAAAATGCATTGAACATGAGTTTTGCAGCAGTAGGGCAATCCATTTTCAGTGACAGGTTGTAATGAACGGAGAGGGTTACACTATCAAATGCACTTCTGGTTGGAGTGATGGAAGTCCAGCATATACAATAGTCAAATAGTCAAAAAATGGCCTTTTGCATGCTGGTTAGAAATATCTAATATGACCACATTCAGAAAAGATGGTGTAAGGCATGTTGGAAAGAAACCTTTCTACTAGAGGCTAATTCTCCAGAATTTTCTTTAGCAACCTGTGAGTGATTGCGCTCTGTCTCAGTCAATATTGCAGGGAGGCAGTTAGTGAAGCACATAGCTGAAAATGTACAATATTTCTTAAAATGTGGAAGAAATAAAGGAAATCATTAATATGACTAAGAAACTGGGAAAACCTTCCCATCCCTAAAAACTATTTTTTCTTTTACTTCAATTCTCTTCCTCATTTTTGTTTTCTTTGTTTACATTTTTCTCTGACAGAACATCCTTTAATTTTTCAAGAACTGTAGCTTTGCCATCTCCTAGTTTCATCTTGTTATTTCATGAGAATAACTCACAAAGGAGAAATTTTCAGTTTAGAGAAATAAAGGCTTAAAAACATTGTAATCAAAACATGTGAAGCATATGCACAGGGTGGATATTAATTAAGATAAAGCAGGTTACCCCCCACATTCCAAAATACCAAGAATATTGTTATCCAGTAAAGCTTAAAAAACAATAGATTTAAGATGAAAAAAGGAACGATGGGTATTTAAGGAATCTATCCTGAGATTTTTAAAGAATACATAGAATTCAAATTAAAAATATATAGAAATATTTATAAAATTATAAATATCAATGAAGCATAACATTTCCCACATCAAATGCAAGAAAATATATCCAACTATATATGCATTTTCTTTGTACTCTCAATGAGTTTCTACTGAAGCCAACTCTGAAAGTGGAAGGTTGGTTAACTGGTGGTATGAGGATGAGCAGTTGGATAGATATAAAATTTGAGGGAAGGGAAGCAAGAAAACTATACAAACATTTTTTGTGAAGAACTTCGTGGTAAATGCATTGATGAAGCTACTCAAATGATCTTTGCTATAGTTTCATCTCTAACGTGATGGTAATTTTTCCACTGGCTGGAATGCTAGACAAAGTATTGTCATAAATTGCTTTCTTCCTATTTCTTTATAGGATATATTATGGATTTTTTCAGGTTGAAGCTATGAACAGTGCTGAACTAGACATTTTCTTTGCCTCAGAATCCTATACTAAGCTTGTGAACCATTTTTACTTTCTATTATTTAAATTTTCCTTTAACACCATCATTTGCCTTTCTTTTCAGAACTACTTTTTCCCAAGGAGTGTGTGTGTGTGTGCATGTTGTGTCTGTTTTAAGTAATACCCAATTGTAGCAAATTGTCCAAAACACATATGTCTGTGTCTTCTGGGTATGGAACACAATGTTGCCACATGGATCTGAATTTTTCAAAATATTCTTTAAAAAACCATAAGATCAACAAGGGAGTGCAAATAAAACTATGTAACCCACACTTTCAGTATTACTAGGAGAAAGAAAATACAACAAAATTAAATGACCTGTAAGTAAAAAAATAAACATCAAATCCCAACAGACATACCAATAGAGCTTCAGCGGTGACTTCAGCTAGTGTATGCAGAGAGCAGAGTCTGAAGAGACTATAAAACTGATTGGAAAAACAGAGCACATACATAAAGTACAAAATTCATTGCCAGGAAGAGAAAGTCTAACATTAATGCCTAAATACTGAGCTCATAGGTTTGGGATTTGGCAGTTCACAGCACCAGCTACAAGGAAAGGGCTTGAAAGTGTGAAACCATAGGTGACAACCTGGAAGAGTCACTGTTTTTGGAGAACAAGGAAAGATAAATGGAGAAGGGGTGGCGGCCTCTTAAAGATGTTGAAGAGGGTAAGAAACAAACTTAAAGGGGAAATTAAGGATCCTGTAGAAGGAAAGGAAAAAGATGCACCAACCTTTATTCTTCCTTAATCACCACCATCACTGACACGATCTACTTTAATAGCACCAAGGAGAAAAATTATATGATTATCCCCATAGCTGTTGAAAAAGCCCTTGATGTAATGAAATACATACATAATCCTAAAGCTAGAATCTTAATTAGAAACAGGAAAAGAGAGGCATTTCCAGTAATAACAGGCAAAAAGCAAAGAATATCCACTGTCCCCACTACTATTTACCATATTGGAGGTTGTACTTAATGCAGTCAGTCAAAAGAAATCGATTAGAGCAAGAGTCCCCAACCCTAGGCCATGGACTGCTACCATTCCATGGCCTGTTGGGAACTGGACTGCATAGCAGGAGGTAAGTGGAGGGCAAGCGAGCATTACCACCTGATATAGTTTGACTGTGTCCCCACCCAAATCTCATTTTGAATTCCCATGTGTTCTGGGAGGGAGCTGGTAGGAGGTAATTGAGTCATGGGGGTAGGTCTTTCCCATGCTGTTCTCATGACAGTGAATAAATCTCACAAGATCTGATGGTTTCATAAGTGGGAGTTTCCCTGCACAAGTTCTCTTTTCTTGTCTGCTGCCATGTAAGACATGCCTTTAACCTTCTGCCGTGATTGTAACTCCTCCCTAGCCATGTGGAACTATAAGTGCATTAAACCTCTTTCTTTTGTAAATTGCCCAGTCTCATGTATGTATTAGCGGCATGAAAATGGACTAATATACCACCTGAGCTCTGCTTCCTGTCAGATCAGCAGTGGTATTAGATTCTTATGGAAGTGAACCCTATTGTGAACTGCACGTACAAGGGACCTAGGCTGTATGCTCCTTATGAGAATTTAATGCTTGATGATCTGAGGTAGAACAGTTTTATCCTGAAATCATCCCCCCAGCCATCTATGGAAAAATTGTTTTCTACAGAACTGGTCCCTCATGTTAAAAAGGTTGAGGACTGCTGATTAGAGGAACAGGATTGGGGGGAAAAAAAACCCTACCAAAATTATCTCTATTTGCAGATGAAATAGTGTACCTGAAAAACTCTAGAGAATCAAAATAGATCTAACACAAACAATAAAAGAACTCAGCACAGTAGCTAGATATAAAATTAACATGCAAAAATCAATAACATACATGTACACAAACAACCAGAAGTTATAAAAAGAAAATCCCATTTATGATAGTGAGGAAGAAATAATACATGTAAGAATAAATTTAACAAGTGTTCATAACCTCTATGAAATACTCCTGAATGTTTCAAAAGTAGGCTTGAATAAATGGAAATACATCCTATGTTCTTGGTTAGGATGCCTTAATATTATTAAGATGTCAGTTCTCTCCAAAAGATTACTTATACATTTATTGTAATCCCAATAAAAATACCAATAAGTTTTTCTTTCTTTCCTGGAGCTAGTCATGTTGATACCACCTGATGATTAATTTTGTGCCAAAATTTTGTGCCAAAGTTCACCTGATGATTAATTTTGTGCCAACTTGACTGGGTTAAGGGATACCCAGACAGCTGGTAAAACATTTCTGGGTTTGTCAGTGTGGGTGTTTCCAGAAGAGAATCAGTGAACTGAGTAAAGAGCCCTCTTCACCACCCACAATGTGGGCCAACATCATCCAATCTGTTGAGGACCCAGATAGAACAAAAAAGCAGAGGAAAGATGAATTCACTTTCTCTTCTTGAGCTGGGACATCCATCTTTTCCTGCTTTCAGACACTGGGGCTCATGGTTCTTGGGTCTTTTGACTACAGGAGTTACACCAAAGGCTCTCCTTTCTCAGGCTTTCAGACTCAAACTGAGTTACACCATTGGCTCCCCTGGTTCTCAGGACTTTGGACTCAGGCTGAATGACCCCACCAGCTTTCCTGCTTCCCCAGCTTGCAGACAGCAGATTGTGGGACTTCTTGGCCTCCATAATCTTGTTAGCCAGTGTGCATAATAAATCCCCTCTTATTTACGTATATATGTATATATCCTATTCTATTTCTTTGGAAACCCTAATACAGTTCATGTGAAAGTTAATATGCAAGAATAGGAAGACACTGAAAATTAAGATCTATAATTAAATCAGTATGTGGTATTGGCACATAGATAGACCAATGGAATACAACTCTGGAAATAAAACCAACCCCAGGTGAAAATTATTTGAAAAAGATGTATATCAAATCACTGGAACAAAAATGAGCTTTTAAAATAACTGATGTTAAGACAAATGGATAACCACTTGATAAAGAATAAATTTAGATTAATTTCTCATAACACATATGAGTTTTATGTCAAAAGGTAGGTAAATTTGAAAGAAGTAACTATTTTGCAGACATTATATTAAAAACTGATTCAAATAAGAATTTTCAGTGAGTGTTAAAACTAGGGAGGAAAGTTTAATAAAGAGTAGGATATTTGCCTAGTCTCAGTTGTCTCCTCACAGAATGCTCACGTTGCAGCTATACTGTGCTGAAACTGGACAACAAATTGACTTGGTAATCAAAATTAACACTAATTAGTGGCAGGTGGACATCCTGTGCCTCCAGATACATTGTTCTGAGAAGGACAAAACATAATCTATGGGGTATTCAAACTAAGGATGCTTAATTTACTCAGGAGGAAATAACAGTCAAACCCCAATTGAGTAACTCTCCATAAAATACTATATTCTTCAATAATGTCCATGTTGTGAAAGACAAAGGCCAAGGAAATGTTCTGGATTGAAAGACGCTAGAAAGACGTGACAACAGATTTGATATGTGGTCTTAGACTAGATTCTGTGCTGCAGGAAAAAAGTGTTACAAAATACATTATTGGATCAATGAATAAAATTGGAAAAGGAATGTATATTAAAGTATTGTATAAATATAAAATTTCCTGAATTTGATAATCATAATCTGATTATGTAAGATAATTTTCTCATTTTTAGGAAATACATATTTAAGTATCGAGGTTAAAAAGGGGCATGATGTATGGATCACTTTCAAATGGTTTAGAAAAAGTAAATTATACACATATATATTTATACCTATGTCTAGCTATCAGAAAGAATGATAAAGCAAGTGTGGCAAAATATTAAAGTTTGGTAGATATAGATAGGAGATAAACAGAAATTCTCTTTACTACTCTTAGAACTTTTTTGTAAGTTTGAAATTATTTCAAAACAAAAAATTAAAACACATACGTGTAAAATTTTGAAAAAGTTTATTCCATGGTTATTCCATTGTATTCCACACAAGGTAGAAAATAAGACAGAAAAGGGAAGAAACTTACCCTCCAAGAATATATTGGAGTTTCAGGAAGGAGCAGAGATAAGTGTGTATCCCAGCTGTCCTTTCAAATATAAGCCTTGAAGCACCAAAATCCAACTAAAATGAAAGAAAAAGGAATACAAAAGGCAATAATATAAAGACAAAAGAGAGAGGAAAGTACAGCATTAAGACTCTGAAAGTTAGAAAGCACATGGTGCAGTGGTAATGGATTCAGCAGACCAGAGAAAGCTGCCAGCGAGGGACTAAGATGCAAGTAGATTCTTGTGGCAGAGCCACAGAAATTCCCAGGAATTGGAGGTATGAGCCAACACTGAAAGTGGGGGTGATGGGGGCCACAGAGAGGCTGTATACAGTAAGATTGGTTGAATGTCCACAGAAGAAGCATTTTAGAGCCACAGGATTCCTATTTCATTTCTCAGAGCTGCCTGACTGCTTCTGCCTTACCCAAGAAGAAGACTGAATGCTCTCTGGAGATGCTGAGTAAGAGGAACTCAGGGACTTAGGGACTCCAGGAGTACCTGAACTTTAGGTATTCATACGAAAAGTAAAGGATATTTTGAAAGTGTACACACGGAAAATATCCCATTCAAGTTATTCCACTTGCCTCCGAGAAACCAGACCACCAAGTTTATATACTTAAGGCAGGACATTGGGATTTTCTTCTGGGGGAAACTAGCTCAAGAAGACTTACAAGTACTGATCAGTGTCCCTGGGAAATACTCCAGCCCAGTAATTTTGAAATTAGGATGATGGCTGATACGCTTGGACTATGCATCTACTTTTTAGGTCTTTATGGAGAATTTTTAATACAAAAAAGTACAAAAGAAAAAGATTTTAGAGGTAAAAGAGACAATACATAAAACTTAACAAAACTTCAAAAAATATCTTGAGATAGGGAAAAAATGTCTCCATGGAGTAAAAACTGGGTGCAATAAAAAGAAACAGAAAAAGGGCTTTTGGAGACTGAAAATATGACAAAAAATTCAAAAAATTTGGATGATAAAGTTGATACAATTTTCCCAAAAGAATAAGACAAACAGGTAGAAAATTGATAAGAGAAGATGTAAAAGGTTAGTGGAAGAGGTCAAATATCTAGATAAAGAGAATTTCAGAAAGACTGAGGAGGAAATAAGGTAGAAAATTGTCAAGAAAATAATTAACTTTTATTTCTAGAACCAAAGACATGAGTTTCCAGCCTGAGAAAATTACCTGAGTATTCAAGAGAATGAATGTCACCCCCTGAAAAGAAGGGAAAAATACACATGAGCTTTACCATGAAATTTCAGAGCACATGGATTAAAGAGAAGATTATAAACACTTTAAAATGTTAAAAATCGTGTTCAAAGGATGTAACTGAAAGCCATTGGATATCTGCATAATATCACTCACAGGTAGAACACAATGAAGTCAGGTTTACCCTTTTTATTGTAAAGTGGGCATAAAATATTGTTTTGAGAATTAAATGAGAAAAACATGTAAAGTGTTAGTATACCTGCCATTACACGGGTTATTACTTCTAGAGGGTGATTAACACTTATATGTTAGAATCATGTCTTACCAGACTGCATGTTTTCCACAATGCCAACCAACATACATGGCTTGGCACGTATTAGTACTCACTATGTGTTGCATCCAGTAGGAAGTGTGCAATTGCAGTGGTGCAACTGATGGCTGTAGTGAATTTCCATAGAAGAGGTAAAAACATTCCTTCCTGGTTTTATGTGGTAGACTAAAGAGTCTTGGGCTGGAGCTCTGTTTATTTTGTGCATAGTCCCGCTAGAAAAGTCCCACAGGAGTCTCTGGTCAAAGGAGTAGTGGGAAGTGAATTTGAAACTCCGTGCTGGTGGAGCTTTGCATTCTGGCGCTGTTATGCATGGAGTCGGCCAAGTTTGTCCTTTGGAGCTCCCAGAAGGAAAGTATATGTACATTCACAATAGCAAACAGATTGAAATGTCAAATTATTTATTTGGATAATTTAAAATAATCCTTCCTTTCTCTTTGTATATACATGCCATGATTAGTATTCAGTATCTTCCTGGTACTTTCAGTCAACATAAAAAGGGAAGAAAAAGCAATAAGCTGTATAAGGAAGAAATAGATTTTTATCACATATGACATGAAAATTAACTATTTTTAATAAGTTGATAAAATAACATTATAGATGACATGAAAAAGCTACTAGAAATAGATTTTAGTGGAGATACAAGATTAATGTGTAAAAACCAATAGCATTCCCTTATATCAGAAATAAATTATTAGAAAAAATTCTAGCTTACAGTAGAAAATGCTTGGGGGTAATACTCCAGAAGTTCAAGATCTTTTGTTGGGGAAGTCTCTTAGGTTGCATGACCTGGTTCACTGCAGAAAAAAAAAATGTAGGTCATAGAAATTGTGGCTCGGTTTCTGCAGAGGTTCTAGCAACTCTTTGAAGTTGAGCATTGACACCCAGGAGGCTTCCAATTTGATACATGGACTTCTCCCTACAGTATTTTGAAACCATAGGGCTCCCTTGCTGTGGAAAACTACTTAGTGGTATTAAGTGTCTGTAGCTCTCAAAATCCCACTTCAGAGAACCATGTATGAACCAGAGCCAGCCATCACCAGAACCCAACCATGCTGGCTGTGTGATCTTAGACTTCCAATCTCTAGAATTGTAAGAAATAGATTTCGATTGTTTATAAGCCATCTAGTCTATCATAAATTGTTATAGCAGCTCAAATGAACTAAAACACTTCACACCTGAGTGTTCGCTCAATTTCTGTAGTCAAAGAAATGCAAATTAAAACATTGAGATACTATAATGTTTTACCTGTTGTACTGTCTAAATTAAGAAAGAATAGAAGAAAGTATGGAACAAGGCTCCCTCCACACTGTTGAATGGGACAGAAATGGGTACCACAGGTTTGGTAAGAAATTGGGCAAGAGTATAGAAATTTTAAAATGTGCTTATTTGTTGATCCTACAATGCCACTTCACACAAAAGTATATTTGTAAAAGGATAATTGCAGAATTATTTGAGTTCCATTTTGAGCTCATGTGAAATCAAAATAATATAAATGCGTATCAATAGGAAATTGTTTAAGTTATGGCATGTATACATATATATATTTGTGCATATAGGTGTCTATACTTGTATATGTACATATGTCCTCAAAATAGTGTGCAGCTATTAATAAGAACATGGCAGCTCTGTATGTTCCTGTATAGAGATTGCCTTCAATGTACATGAAAGTAAAAAGTATTACTTATATGTAAAAGTCATACATTTTAAAAACATATTTAAATAATTTACTTGTAAATTATTTATCAATGAAATGGAGCATTATGTAGAGAATTATCCAAATTTTCTAGTTTACAATTTAGACAATGAGACAAAACTAACAAATGGAGAACAATCAACATGAAACTGTCAGAGGAGTAGCTCTTCATGTTTTTTTTCCACATTCCTGGAGACATCAGGCTACATTAGAGGTAACAGAGTCTTTGAACTACATTTGACTCCCAGGGCTAGCTGAAAAGCCCTTTCTTCTCACAACTTATTTCACAGCCACTGTGTCATTGACCTTGCGTTAGAACCACTAAATCAGAGAATGCCTTACGTGGTCCAAAGTTGCATTAAGATTAAGGCATTTAGGATATGGAAAGGTTGATGCAGCTGGAGAGGTCTTCGGTACAGAGATGACACTGAAGGATGGCTGTGTCTGAACAGGTAGGATCTGAGGAACTTTACATCTTCTTCTCTTTCAGGTCCAGGAATACAAATGCTGATGTGATGCTATTCAGATCCTTAAGGTAAGGCAAAATTCTGATTGGAGCAGAACACTTCAGAAGTATTTTTCAACGTATACTGAGAAGTTGCTCTGCGACAGATGATATGCCAAGCAGCTGGGAAGCAAAGATGAGGAAGACATGACCCTGTCCTGGAAAAGCTTCTTGACTTGAAGGTAGGGAAAGAGCTGACAGCATTTTTATATTTTCTGCATCTACTGCAGACAACAATGTCCTGTACATCTGGCCAAAGGCCAATCTCTAGTAGGCTAATTTCTGTATGCTGGTGAGATGAGCAAAACACATGGAATCTCAGTTGACAAATAATTCAAGCAGGTTAATCACTTCATGCTCATGTTACCCCACTTGGTCTCCTTGAAAGATCTTTTCCTTGGGTTTGGGCTAAAGACTGTTTGTTTTACTGACCTCAGTGACTCACTCTGGGATTGGCTAGTCTAGATTCTAAGAATGCTCAGTTTCCTTCTTTTCAAAACAAAATCTCAATATCTATTAAAGAACTAAAACGTTATTTTAAGTGCAGTAATCAATAAGCCTGAAGAATAATGTTTGGAGTGTTTATGGTTGTGTTGAATGACTTGTATTTTCAAAATGTGCTCCTATGGAAAAACTACTTTTAATTTGAATGCTTAATATTTACAAGCTGCAAAAAGATTCAGAATTAATCATATTTCTACAGTAACAGTGATGAAAAAACCCCATTGTTATAATGATTTGTTTAATTTCCATTCATAATTCAGCCACCATACTGTAATTCTACAGTTGTATTTATCTTCCCTGTGTACTCTTCCTCCAGTCTGTTTCTCCTCCTGTTTTCTAGCCTACTGCTGCTAATTGCTCTCCCTCTAATCAGCAAGAATCTGAACATTTGAAGCCTTTTCCTTTGGCTCTTCCCTTTCTTTTGCCTCTATTATCTGGTCATTATTAAAATCATATCTTGCCATTTGCCTTCCTCAAATACATTATTTTATATTTTATCAGTAAGAAAATCCAGTTTTAAATTATCTATATGGCTTTGCAAATAAAGACTACATCTCCCGGTATTTCCGTATAGCTAGATGTGCTTATATGTTTTAGTTCTGAACAATGAGATGTAAGCAGAAATGCTATTCAGAAGCTTCCAGGAAGCTTCTTAGAAGGCATTGTGGGTGCCATTTGTCATTGTCTTTTTTGTCTCTTTCTACTATGTGCTCCCTGCCTGGAGCAAAAGCAGCCATTTTGAGACATGAGGCAACATGCTAATAAGCATAGTGGAACAGCAAGGTGGGAGAATGGTTGCTGGCCAATGGAAAGCTGACATACCAGCCCTGAACTGCTTAATTCTGCATTTATTTCATATGAGATATAAATAAATTTGTCTTTAAAAATCAGTTTTAGGTTCTCTGTTACATGAATCAAATCTAGTCCTAATTAATACTCTTTCCTTATACTTTTTTCCCATTCTTGCCATTCTCACTATTGTTATTAATGCCACAGGAAATTGAAAAGCAATGGAATGCAGACAATGTGATGAAGCCTTAGCAGCACAGGCTTTGGAGTAATTTCTTTTTTCAGTCTTTGCTCTATGTGTAACTTTACCTCTCTGTGCCTTAGTTTCCTCATTGTTAAATGGAGACTTCATACATTTATTGTCAGGAATAAATGAGATAATGCATATGAAAAAAATCATATGTATAGTGCCTGGTGGTAAGAGCTGTATGAAGGGTAGCTCCCTTAATATTATCATCTTGTTTAGTTTGACCTAAGGGAGAGATAGTAGAACAAATGCCATTGAACACAATATACTGATTGAATAGTTTAGTAAATATTAACCTGCCATTCACCCTCTTCTCAGCTCAATCATTTTTATAGTTATACTGAAATTTTATATTTGGCATGTTTATATTTACATTTAAACTAAGGTGCCCAAATTTATAGGCCATGCTAAATTATAGACTCATAGTAACCATGCTGTACACATTATTGATGTGGCATATTTCTCAAAATCTTTTTCTGGGATGATCTTTTATACCATCTTCTTTGGCAGGGAAGCATCTTGTACCCAAGTCTTATATTATCTTCTATAATATTTACCATACCTGGAGGTTTATTCTGCTTGTATAATATTTACCAAATCTGGAGGTTTATTCTCTACTTTTTTTTCATGTACACATAAGCCTGTGAAACAGAATGTTCTTCAGCAACAGCCTGATTCCCAGATTAAAATACTCAGCCCAACACTTATATCAGATCTCACACTTCCTCTTTTCTTTTCAAAGATCTTTTCAAAATTAAAAAAAAAATCTTTATCCCAATAGTGTTCATGACATAGCTCAAATATGCTAGCTACATTGTTGAACAGTCTTATCCTTTTTCTTTTTTTGGATACAGGGTCTTGCTCTGTCGCCAAGGCTGGAGTGCAGTGGTGCTTTCTCAGCTCACTGCAGCTTGATCTTCTGGGTTCAAGCAATCCTCCCACCTCAGCCTCCTGTGTAGTGGGGACCACAGGTGTGTGCCACCTCAACTGGCTAATTTTTTTTTTTTTTTTTATTTTTCGTAGAGATAGTTTTCGTCATGTTGCCCAGGCTGGTCTTGAACTCCTGAGCTCAAGCAATCCAACTGCTTCGGCCTCCCAAAGTGCTGGGATTACAGGCATGAGCCATCATGCCCAGCCGATAGACTTATTCTTAACAGTAATTTATTAAAACATATTCAATTATATTTTAAATATTATTTAAAATGTGAAAGTCACTGACAAAAATCTCTCTGCAAGAAACTGTGTGCAGTAACTAAGCTCACAAATAGGCAAAGTCTTTACAAGTATTTAACTTAAATTAAATTTAAATTTTGTTTAATAATTTTATTTTAACTTAAATTTTGTTATCTTTTTGTGGATTTATGGGGTACAAGGGCAGTTTTGTCACATGGATATATTGCATAGTAGTAAAGTCTAGGCTTTTAGTGTAACCATCACCCGAATAGTGTACATTGTACCAATTAGGTACTTTCATCTCTCATCTCCATCCTGGTCTCTCACCTTTCAAGTCTCTAATGTCTATTATTCTACTTTCTATGTCCCCATGTGTACAAATAATTCAGTTCCCACTTAGAACATGCAGTATTTGATTTTCTGTGTCTGAGTTATTTAAGATAATGGCCTCCAATTCCATCTATGTTGCTGCAAAAGACATGAGTTAGTTCTTTTCTATGGCTGAGTTATATTCCATGGTGTGTATATATATATACACACACACACACATATATATATATGTGTGTGTATATATATATACACACACACACACACACACACACATATGTGTGTGTATATATATATACACCGAATTTTCTTTTTATAATTGTTGATACACACACACATATGTGTGTGTGTATATGTGTGTATATATGTATATATATGTGTATACATATGTATATATGTGTATATGTGTATATATGTATATATATGTGTATATATGTGTGTATATATGTATATATATGTGTATATATATGTATATATGTGTGTGTGTGTGTGTATATATATATATATACACCGAATTTTCTTTTTATAATTGTTGATGGACATTTAGGTGAATTTCATAGTATTTTTATTTTGAATTCAGCTATAACTCACAATTACAATGATCGGTGGCCCAACAACTGGAGTAGATTTCACCATTACTCTAGTCCAAGTGCTCTACTTATCTGCTTTTCCCATTTTACTTCCTAAGTCCTAAGTCCTGCACATTGCTGTGAAGTCATTCTCTTACTCAAAACTTTGGCTCACACAGTTGTCTTCTCCTTGGCTGTCTCTTTATTATAGTCTTTATTCTTCCAGATAAATTGCATCAACAAACACCATTAAACCTGATACCTGCAGTCAAAAGTGATATTTCACTATTCCATAATATTTTCCTTGGGCAAAACACCAAAAGCTAATCTTTTAAAAATTATTATATTTTGCCCCCAAATTCTCAACATTCTTATTTATAATTGCTAAAACTGAACAGGAGTAGGCTGGGCCCCTTCCCAGGCCTCTGCTATGTTGAGTGATTTTTTCTTTTTTTCTTAAGGTAATAATGAGAGTGGTGGAGCAGGAGGTCAGAAAGCAAAGACCCAGTGATTTGAACAGAGGCAAAAGCCATGAACAAAAAAATTGGAGAAGTCAGAGAAAGAAATTGAAGTTGGAGTTGACCCAAAGTTTGTCTTATTGGATTAATGACTAAGCGAGTTAAACTAGCAAAGCTAAGGAAGTTGATGGTGTGTCTTAGGAAATCACTGATTTCTAGCCAAAGTTCATGGTTTTCTGTTATGGGCTGGTGGGATCAGTGGAAACTGAATGGTGGAATTGCCTGGATGGGAGAAGTAGAAACACAATAGGATGGATTCAGTTTGTATCTTTAAGTGGCCTTTAAAATATTTTTCCATTTTTTTTTTAAAGCAAGGTGGGTGGTATGACATTATTAGAAGGACAGGCAGATGGTGTCACTAATTTGGATTGTTTCCCAAATGGTGCCTCTTGGCTCTGCTTCTTGGATTTTGGATGGTGTTCTGTGTGTCTTGGCTGGCCAGCAGCGTCTTCAGGTAATAAGGTGGAAGGGAGGCTCAGCAGTGAGCTAGAAGTGGAAGCCCTTGTTGCTGTGGAATAGGGGAAATATGTGTAATTAGCATCCTGAAAGTGGGATTTGAGCCAAGCTAATTATGAGTTCTGCAAACTGCAAGTTCTGGATGTCCCTGCAGAACTAAGCTGTGTATTACATTAGGAAATTTTCATGGGCCAACTGAGTTTCTACTGAAGGCATAGCTAAAGGCCCTGTGGTGGACACCTTACCTCCTGGGAGCTCTTGCTTTCCTCTATTAGTGTTGTGGTGTCCTGGTGTATTCGTGTGCATGTGTGTGTGTGTGTAGCTCTTTTAATACAGGATTTCCTGTGTTGAAAGAATCCCCATAGGTCCTCCTCATCTCCCACTGAGAATCTTATAATAGTCTCCTAATTAATGTATTTCTAGTTCCAGCCTCACTTCTCTGCCTGAAAAACTTCCTTTGTTATATTCTGTGGAACAGTCCACTGGTGATAAATTATCTTAGTTTTAGTCTGATTTTTTTTAAATGTCATCTTTATTTTTTATGTATAGAATTCCATGTTGGAAGTTTTCTCTTAGCACTTTCTAGTGCTTTCTATTGTTTTGTTTAGAAATCAGTCCTAGGGAATGAATTACTTCTCCTTTTAAGATAATATGTCAATATTTTTTTTCCTGTGACTGCTTTTAAGAATTCATCTTTGTCTTTCGTTTACAACAGTTTTACAGTTACATACCTAGGTATGCTTCTCTTTGTATTGATATAGTTTGTAGTTTGTAGGGTTTCTTGAAACTGTGGCTTACTTTTTAAAAATCATTTGTATCCAGTTCTTCCTCTCCCCTCCCCTACTTTTTTTCTTGGACTTCAATACATACATGTTACACTGTTGTCCTGTAAGCTTGATATTTATTGTATTATTTTTCTGTTCTTGTCTCTCAATGCTTCAAACTGTGTGCTTTTATGTCTTATTTTCCACTTCACTTGTTCTCTTTTCAACTCTGTCTAATGTGCTATGAAACAATTCACTATTGTTATTAATTTAAAAATGCTAGCATTTTTAATTGGCTCTTATTTATTACTTTTAGTTTACCACAACCAATCTCAGTTTCTTTTTTTTTTGAGACAGAGTCTCGCTCTGTTGCCAGGTTGGAGTGCAGTGGCATGATCTCAGCTCACTGCAATCTCCACCTCCTGGGTTCAAGCGATTCTCCTGCTTCAGCCTCCCAAGTAGCCAGGACTACAGGTGTGTACCACCATGCCCAGCTAATTTTTGTATTTTTGGTAGAGATGGGGTTTCACCATGTTGGCCAGGATGGTCTGGATCTCTTGACCTCATGATCCACCTGCCTTGGCCTCTCAAAGTGCTGGGATTACAGGCGTGAGCCACTGTGCCCAGCCAGTCTTTTTTTTTTTTTTTTTTTGTAAAACAGGGTCTCACTTTGTCACCCAGGCTGGAGTGCAGTGGTGCAATCATGGCTCACTGTAGCCTTGACTTAACTGGGCACTAGCTATCCTTTTACCTCACTCTCCCAAGTAGCTGGAACTACAGGTGTGTGCCACCACACCTGGCTAATTGTTTTTTTTTTTTTTTTTTTTTTTTGTAGGGGCAATCTCCCAATGTGCCTAAACTGGTCTCGAACTCCTGGGCTCAAGCTATCTTCCAGCCTTGGCCTCTCAAAATGCTGGGATTACAAGTGCCTCCCACCATGCCCAGGCAACATCAGTCTTGTCTTTTATTCTTTGACTAGGGTAACAATATTTAAAATATATGTCTGATAGCTGCATTATTTGGGTCTTCTTTGAGTCTGTTCATATTGTTTGTGTGAGTTTCTCTTAGTTTGCAGTCACATTGCTTTGTTTGCTCATGGACCTGGCCATTTCTGATTGAATGCTGGTTATTGTATCTATAATTTGTAATCAATTTTAAAATCTTAAATAATGGTATCATCCTCCAGAAATCATTTATATTGTTTCTAAAAGAATGCTAGAGTGCTTTAGCAACTTTTCTTTTTCTTTTCTTTCTCTTTCTTTCTTTCTTTCTCTCTCTCTCTCTCTCTCTCTCTTTCTTTCTTTCTTTCTTTCTTTCTTTCTTTCTTTCTTTCTTTCTTTCTTTCTTTCTCTTTTTCTTTTTTTGAGATGGAGTCTTGCTCTGTCGCCCAGGCTGGAGTATGGTGGCACAATCTTGGCTCACTGCAAGCTCCGCCCTTCAGATTCAAGCAATTCTCCTGCCTCAGCCCCACCAAGCAGCTGGGATTACAGGTGCCCACCACCATGCCTGGCTAATTTTTGTATTTTTAGTAGAGACGGGGTTTCACCATGTTGGCCAGGCTGGTCTTGAACCCCTGACCTTAGGTGATCTGCCCACCTTGGCCTCCCTAAGTGCTGGGATTACAGGTGTGAGCCACTGCGCCCAGCCAGCAACTTTACTTTCAGCACCTCTTCTCGAATTGGCTAATGTGCTTGTAGATACCTGGCCTCAAATGCCAGGCTCAACAACCTGGGTTTATTTCTTTATCCAGATAGCCCTCACTAACTTAACATTTTGATGCTTTTAAGCAATTTTTTGATTCAGTATTTCTGGTTGAGCGAGACAGTTGGTCTACACTACTCAGTCTATCATTGCCAGAAGTAGATATATAAATGATTAATCTAATCATTAATAAAATTAATTATAAATTAATTACAAATTACATTAAATTGGTGCAAATTACATTAAATCCTAAAAAGTGGAGAACACAAACTTGTTATTGGTGAAGAGGAAACTTTAAGAAACATTTTTGGAATATTTCCACCTCTACTTCTAATCAAACCATTTACCAATAGAGGGGTTATAGAGGGGTTACTAGTAATTTTGATTATTCTGAGAAGGTGTATACATGAATATGAATTATTGTATTTATCCATCCCTTAGGTGCTCTTTCTTGCTATATGTGATTTTCTTGACAAAACTGTATCTCCAGTCCTAATTACAAAAATGTTTTTGATTACTTATTGATGACATTTCTGTCTCAAAGTAATATTTGTGAATTAAGATGACTTCATTAGTTATCGTCAATTATTAGAAGTACAGGGAGAGCATTTGGCTGAAATTTAAATAGACCCATGAAGTTAGTTATTATACTCTCTTAGAACTCCTCTTTCTACTCTGGGAGACAAGCCATTTAAATGACAAAGTGTTCTTGGAAGAAAAGCTCTAGACTGTCCCTGATTGGCTACAGCCCTATATATAGAGTTTAGAAATATGCAGACAAGACATTGCCAACATGGCCGAGTAAGAGATACCAGCCATGGCTGAAGGACTCAGATAGGCCCACTCAAAAAGCCATGTTTCAAGGCGGTGCAATACAATTCTTGAGAGAAAAATCACATGTACATACAGAGAATTGCAATAGAGTGGGCCAGAATAAACAATAATTCCAACTGTAGTACATGGCTGCACTTGACCACCCTCTGATGCAGCACCCCAGATTGCTTACCTCCTTATAGAAATGATAAAGAAGATCCTGATGGATGGACGTCCAAGACTCTCTACTGTGGAATCCTCTTCTAGGCTGAATATTTGGAGAAGAAAGTGTTTCTTTATGATGGAGAACCATGTGAAAACTGAAGGTCTGACAGCAGACGATGGAAAGTCCAAGGAATTGGCATTAGAAAGAGAAAATAATGCACTCTCAAGGGACGTTAGTGGTTCAAGGTAGGCCATACCCTTTGGCACAGAGAGGCATTGCACAGTGACTTAATATGAGTAGAACAATGGCTGAACAATGGTGCAGAAACACAGAGTTTTAGCCAAAAGAGAAGGATGGTAGAGCCACAGTCACGGACTTGCATTCTGTGTGAAGCAGAGCCCTCTTTACCCACTGGGGATTCTTAGACTGACATAAAAAAGAAAGGATGAAAGCATTCCTATTTCTCCATAGCCTCACCAGCATCTGTTGTTTCTTGACTTTTTAATAATTGCCAGCCTGACTGGCATGAGATGGTATCTCATTGTGGTTTTGATGTGTATTTCTCTAATGATCAATGATGTCGAGCTTTTTTCATGTTTGTTGACCACATAAATGTCTTCTTTTGAGAAGTGTCTGTTCATATCCTTTGCCCACTTTTTAACTGGGTTGTTTTCTCTAGTAGTTTTTTGAATATGAATTATTCTGTTATAAAGATATATGCACGTGTATGTTCATTGCAACACTGTTCACAATAGCAAGGACACAGAATCAACCCAAATGCCCATCAATGATAAACTGGATAAAGAAAATGTAATACATATACATCACGGAATACTATGCAGCCATAAAAATAATAAGATCATGTCCTTTGCAGGGACATGGATGGAGTTCAAAGCCATTATCCTCAGCAAACTAATGCAGGAACAGAAAACCAAACACTGCAGGTTCTCACTTATAAGCGGGAGCTGAACAATGAGAACATAAACACAAGGAGGGGAAACAACATACACTGGGGCCTGCCGGGGGAAGGTTGGGGGAGAGAGAGCATTAGGATAAATAACTAATTCATGCTGGGCTTAATACCTAGGTGATGGGTTTGATAGGTACAGCAAACCACCATGGCACACATTTACCTACGTAACAAACCTGGATGCCCTGCACATATTCCCATAACTTAAAATAAAATTAAATAAGCATGAGGTTCGTTAGTTCAGCTTTAATTATTTGAGGCCTTTAATTATGACCTGATATTGGGCAGAGCCTGGGGAATATTATTGTTACAAGTAAACATCCCTGAGGACGGTCAGATACAGGGGAGGGTAATCCTGGGCGAAGTCTGGGTTTTTTGCAAACCAAATAAGTGGTGATTCAAAACATCTATGAATATTGGCCAAAGAAGCTCGAACCCTTTATGGTACAGGAGAATATTAAAATGAAAATAATCAATTTGAAAGATACTTCAGCCAGTTTTAGCTCCTGCAAATGTGTCGAATACAGACAATTCACTGTGACTTTCAATCTGTCTTCTATAAGTAGCTTCTTTAATTTCCATGAGCTGTTGTTCATTAGAGGAGGAGATTATTGACATTTAGAGTTTTCTCAAGGATCAGATTTTTGTTTGACTACTTAGATGCTCTCTCTTCTGAGTAAAATGTATATTGGTAAACCTTTGTGAGTTGAGAAATTTATATAGCCCTTTTGGTAAGAAATTGCACATGTGGGTGTACGTTTGTTCTGTTTTCTCCAGTGGGTGTGAGGTCATAGCAAGTGACCAAAGGCCACTGGAATGGCTCATCCATAGGGTCAAAGGACTGAGGTCTATGCAGGAAGTATTCTTTCTGGGATGTGGAAAGGAACCTATTACCTATTGGCTGTCTGTAACCTATCTTGATCTTCTCAAATCTTGTTGTTATTATCAGTGACACAAGCAGATATTTATATAGAACACCACACATTTTGCAGGTAAAATTGGAACTCCCCTTTTTATGCCTCAGAAAGTGCGTGCTGATAAATCACTAACTTACTTTATTCTTTAATTATAAAGAATATGCCTGAAACATACAGTGCTTCAGCCCTAGATACAGAAGTCAGACAATGATATATTCATGACAGATTTAAGGGGTGAAGCTGAGGAGTGAAACCACCAAGATGATGACCAGTAGCTTCTGGGGCACAACACCCATGGGGCCAGGAAGAGCAGTATGGAGAGCTGACAGGCTAAATGCTAAAGACGGGGTAGTGTTGTGTCCCACAAGGCTCTGGAGTTACCTGGGTCACGACTCCACTGCTGCTGCTTATGAACTCTTACGCTTATTGCAAAGCATTTCAATTCTGCAAGCCTTAGTTCCCTGATTTGCAACATTGGGATAGTATTAGGACTTTTGTGTTATTATTAAATAGTATATCCAAAGTGCTTATCTACCACATAGAATGATTTATATAATAACAATAGCAAATAGTTACTTTGATTAATTTTTAGGGAAGTCTTTATGTTAATCTTCTAAGAAGTAAAGAGAAATGTCAATCATCCTTATATAAGTATCTCAGGATAAGGAATAAGGAGAAAGAAATTGTGTGAGGGAAGTCATTCTGGATAAGATCAATATGTTGATGTGTATTACATGATCTATAAGGAATAGAATATCAGAATATTTTGGTGGAATTTTGAGTCAGAACAAGAACCTGTTCACTTCTTACAGACAATTACTATCCTGGAGAAAAATTATGGTGATAAAGATAAATAACATGTAGGCGGTGACCAAGAAGCACCTAGGGATGTGCCAAATTATTCCACTGTTTCAAATAAAAAATGGTAGATGTAATAGATGACCCCTGGTAAAAGCAGATGATCTGAAAATGCATTATGAAAGAATAAGGTTTCCCCAAAGGTGCTAAGAATTAATGCTCTTGAATATTTTCTTTTCTTGATGCAACCATATTTGTAAATGTAAATAGTTTCTTATTTTGTAAAAACTGAGCAAAAAATGTGTTTACCAACAAACATTTGCATGAGGTGAGGCTAGGGTTTTCACTGCACGGCAGGATACAGCATCTGCTCTGAAGAAACATGTAGGGAACGTAAGTCATTTCACACCCAACAGGACATTGCTGTGGAGCTATACTTATCTGATAAAGCCATAAACATAACCAGATGAGGAATGCCATTTTCATGCATGGAAACACAATCTAACTTCATACTAATTCACAGTTTGCATGTCATCTGTTTTCTGATTTGGAGTTTTGTCCAAAAGCAATACAATTTTGATATGACCATATTTTAAAGGCATGAGAACATCCATCTGGGACAGTTTTTATGATTTTCATCCTGCAACATGGAATAGAATGTCTGATAATAGAAGACACTATATTGATATGTGGTCATTTTGCTGTAAAAGACCATCTGCCTACCTCTGTACAACATGGTTGAAGAAGCATAAAGTGAAGACTCAAATCCCTTTACACTCTTGAAGACCAGATGCCTTTATGACATGACTGATGGGTGGGGTAAATTCATCCCAGTTCCCATCCGGTGGGTAGACACTAGGTAATAGGCAAAAGAGCCAGCTGCCAAGAATCCAAAGCACCATTGCATTTTAGAATTTCTGCGTAGCATTTTATTCAAATTCAGCAGGAAGCTGAAACTTTTTAGACTAATGATTTTATGAAGAACCTTAGAGAAATGTGACTGTCAGAAAATGTAGCTGTTTGGTATGTTACACTAACTATGGCTAACTCTTTAAAAATGCTATATTGAATTTTGGAATAAGTTCAATGCTTCTTTTCTTGGAAAAGCATGGACTTGGTGTTAAATGTAATGCAGTGGACCAAGAGTTCAAGAGTGAACCACTTTAATCCTGCTTCCAGAGATGGTGTGCTCTGTAACCTTGGGCAATATATTTAACCCGCATAGGGAAAAGGAAAAGTGTTCTAAAGCAGTTCCCTCCAAGACAGAATAATTTTACAATGCTTGACAGGGCATTGGGTGCAATGAAAATTAAAAATAACAATGACTGTTCTTCAAAGACATTGCTGAAGTGTTTTAATATCCTGTCCAATTAGAGAAAATATGAGAAATGAGCCTCTCTGATTCTCACGTTTGGCTGGAAATCTTGGCTGGCTATGGGGACAATCTGTTACTGCTGGCTGTTGCTCTGGGGGTGGGTTAATGCCAGCCATTCAGATGCTCACTAAAATCTGTATTCTTGTGGAATGGTGATTTTCTGCTTCCAGTGATCAGCTTGTGACTCTTTGTAGCACAAGCAAAAAAGCCTCATTTTCAACCCTTCGGCCTTCTTGGAGTTTTGGGCCTGCAGCTCAGACTCCCTGTACTTCTTGAAGCTCATTAGTCAGTTCACAGCCATCTGTCTTTGTACCATTAACCCACCGATTGGACACTCCACAGTTGTTTTCTGTGTCTGTTCTGGTAAATTATGTGCCACAGCTGTTATGCACTCTGAGGTACATGCTGTTCTAATGACAGCTCCTTCAGAAAAGATCTGGATGGAGAATACCTCTGTGTGAATCTGAAGCTGTGGAAGTTTGGTCCTTGGCTGGGAGGGGCATGGAGGGAGGGTTTGAATAAGGGCAATCCTTGATTTTGCTATAGGATGACTGTGACGATGGAAAAGTATCATTCTTCAGTGACCAGTGGATCAGATGAGAATACAGGGAAGCATAAGAGAAAATCAAATGGAGGCTAGAGCAATTTTCTGGCCTTGGAAGAAAAATAATTGCACAAAGGAGAGTGGTAACTTGCGAATAGTTAGCAGTAAGAGTGTGAGTTTCCTCTCTTCCTTTTCTCTAACTTAATCTGTCCAGTCCACATTATGGGTGAGCTCCCTAAATGCTATGCATGCTGCTTGGATAGGATAAAAAGAAATTGATAAAACCTGCCTGTAGTTCCCTGGACGGCTTGATATGACTGGGGATGCAGAGCTAGCAACCTTCCTAAGGAGAGAAGGCAGCCTACTGGGGGCAGGGCTCTATTGGATTTTTCTGTTCATTCTCCAGACACTGTGGAAGACTTTTAGGAAGTGCTGGGGGATGAGAGTACCTGAAGGTAGTGCTTGCTGCCTCAAGAGAGAGAAAGTGACAGTGGCTGGATGTGAAGTAGTGAAGAGACGTATACTCTCTCCTACTTATTTATGTATTCAATTTTTAATAAATATGCATTTATGGATATGTATTTTATTCTGTGGGTCTTAGTACAACGTTATTTTGCTGCTCCAATTTCTCTATTTTGACTATTAGGAGCCCCTTGAGATTGCTCCCTGTGTCTAGAATCGACTGTATTTTCTCTGCGTCAGTCCTGGGATCAACCACTTCTCTAAAAGGTCCTGATTTCCTTTATTAGAGAATGGAGTTTGGAAACCAAGATCTGAGGGCCAGGTACATTTGTTGCTGTTAAGATATTATTGCTTCTTTGTCCTTTCAGTGGGCGAAACTAGGAAATATATATATATATATATATATATATATATATATATATATATATGTATACTAAGTCATACATACACATGCATCTGTATTTAGTTCTGTATCTGTCTGTGCATGTATTGAAATTCATGTTTATACCATTACCTCTCATTGCAATCCAACAAAATTGAGTCCTTTTTCCTTTTCTTTGTAACTTCCTTCACTGTAAGAAATTTGACTAGCAGTGCTGATAATATACTTACTGATTTATTCAAACCTAGTATACATATAAAGTAGTTTCAGTTGCTGATTTATGCCTCTGTGAGAAACACATTTACTAACTAGATTACAGTATTTGTATATAGGATTTTTGTCTTTTGGATCTAAACTTATTTTGATAATACATTTATTTCCTCTCAAATTTAGTTTTCAAGATGACCTTCTCCAGTATCAGCTATAGTGAGATAATTATCGCATAAATTGACTTTTGGTGGCACAGGTTATCACTGGAACACAGAAATGTGCACACTGGCTACAGATAACAAAGATATCTGTAATATGAAGGAAAAAGGTTTCACCTATGTTTGCTTATTCTTAATTGGAAGTATATACTTTGTTATAACTTTGTGCTTTTTTGTCCAGTATCAGCTCAAAAATCAATATTTCTTTGAAGTCTCAGAGCAACATACTAAATTTTTACAGGAAGCCCATACTATCAACACACATTTTAGATTTCAGTTATAAGATTAGTATATCAAAATGACTCCAAAATTCACTGCAACTACCCTTTTGAATGGAACTCATCTCCTTGGGAGTGTTTCATAATAATTGATATTAATCTATACTATATCTCTGCATCTATATTATGTGGTATCTTCCTATGAGTTATTTTTACAATTTATAAGCCCTAAGACGGGTTTTTTCCTAAGTGGCATTTTTTTTCAAATCCAAATAATATACAGGCAATTCTTGAAAATCTGCTGAAAATTATAAGAACACAATGACATTTATACCTATTAAGAAGGCAAAGATTAGGTAATAAGAATGAATAAAAGCAATTCATTTATTCAATATGTATTGAGTCCCTACTCTATGCTAGGTGCTGAGAAAAGAGTTGTAATTAAAATAAACAAAAAAACTGTCTTCATGGAATTCATATTCCAGTGGGAGAAAGATGGGTAATAACTAAGTATATAGTGTAGTATTATTGGAAGGCAGTAAGTGATACAGAGCAAAGAAAGCAGGGAAGGTGGACAGGGAAATTTAGGGCCTGGGTTGAGTTATAAACTTAATTAGGGTGGTCAGGGAAGTTACTGAAACAGTGACACTTGGGCATTTGAAAGATGGGAGGGAAGAAGCCATGGGGAATCTGGGCAATCATAAAGATCTCAAGGTAGGAATGTGTCTCAAGGAGCATCACAGAGGTCAGAGTGGCTGGAGTGGAATGAATTATAGGGAGTATTAAGAGATGAAGTGGGAAAGGCAGTGAGGTGAGGTGCAGGGGCAAACAATGAGAAGCAGGATGACGGGAATGTCTTGAAGCCATTGCCCAGCCATAGCTTTTACTTTATTTGCAAAGGCAAGCCACTGGAGGGTTTTGATCAGATGCTAGATGTGATCAAGATCTTGTTATTGCCAAATAACTACAACTGTCCCACAAACTCGATTGCATGCATCTCACTGATTATGATCTCTTATTTTCCCAATTTACTTCATCGAGAACCCCAACTTCAATGATCCTTTGATCCTGCCAGGACCTCCAGTTCATTGATCTCAATCTTTCCTTGTTCCTTATCCCCTGATACCCTCTCCCTACTTGTTAGTTTGGTGAAATCCTATGGTCAGTCATTATAATCACTTAGTTGACTACAGCTGAAAGTCTCTTGCCCTTCTTTTTTACTTTCCTCTGTGGTTGCTTGGCAAAATCACAACCTTGATTCAGTTCAACTTTTTGCATTCCACACCTGCACTCGTGCAACTAAATGTAGCTGGAGGGAAAAACGCATCTTCCTGGACTGGTCTGACTTTAAATTAGTAAGAATGAATCTCAAATGCACTCAATGTCACCAGGCATTTGTAAGAGGGTTTATTGGGCTAGTCTGATTTTAAATCAGTGATAATGAACCTCAAATGCACTCAGTGTTACCAGGCATTTGTAAGAGGCTTTACACTCCCAGGAGTTATCATTCACCCTCCTTCTCTCCTAGATGATTTACTGTCTTCTTGTTTTGCCTTAAACTTGAAACACATTTCCCCTATCTTTCCCTCCTTGCTTTCTACTTTACTAAAATGATTCGAAAATCAGAAGAGACCCTCCATAGACTTTTGCATCCAACTATACACCACCAGTATCTGCCACATCTTGCATTCTTGCCTGTAACCAGAGGTAAACTGTAATGCTCCAATCTAAATCCAAAGCCAATCTGTCTACATTATTGACTGGATCCCATTTTTCATCACTCCTTCCATCCCACAAAAATCAATCTTTTTACTCACACAACTGGGTCATACTCATTAATATGCTGGTGTTTCTTTCATTAAAAAATTTTATAAAACCACCTTCCTTCAACTTCTCTTCCCTCCCCAGTCCATTAGTTCTCTGCTTTGCAGCACAATTCTATAAAAACTTTGTCTCTGTTCCAGCCAGGCACGGCGGCTCATGCTTGTAATATCAGCACTTTGGGAGGCCAAGGCGGGTGGATCACCTGAGGTCGGGAGTTCAAGACCAGCCTGACCAACATAGAGAAACCCTGTCACTACTAAAAATACAAAATTAGCTGGGCATGGTGGCATTAGATGCCTCTAATCCCAGCTACTCCGGAGGCTGAGGCATGAGAATTGCTTGATTGCAGGAGGTGGAGGTTGCAGTGAGCTGAGATCACACCATTGCACTCCAGCCTGGGCAACAAGAGTGAAACTCTGTCTGAAAAACAAACAAAGCAAAACAACAAAAAAGCTTTGTTTCTGCTCGTTGACTCCATATTCTCTCTTCCCTTCTGACTTGGATTTATCTCAATCAGGCCTTGCATTTTTCTCAATCACTCTATTAAAGTTGCTCTTGTCGAGGCCTTAAGGTCATATTATTTAATTCACTGCTGAATTCTCAGCTTCGTATTACTTGGCCTTTCAGCAGGATTTGTTAACAGTTGATCATTTACTCCTCTTCACTTGACTTCCAGGACACCGTACTCACCTGGTTGTTTTCTTATCTTTTTGATGGCTCTTCCTCAGGCTCCTTTGCTGATTCCTTCTCTTTCCCTCCACCCTAATAATAAAGACCCCTGAGACTTAGTTCATGATTCTCTTCTTTATTAATAATTACTTTCTTGATCTCAGCCATTTCATGGCCTTAAGTACTCTCTATATGTCAACGACTCCCAAATGTACATTTTGAACACATACCTTTCTCTCACATCTCATCTTCATCCATTAGAACATTATTTTGGCTCTACTTTGAGAATATATTCAGCATATTCATTGCTAACTACTAATCACCACCCCTAGTACCATCGCCTTGATCTGTAGCCATCATCATCTCCCACCTGAATTATTACCATAGCCTCAGAGTTGGTCTTTTTGATTCAATTTCCCTACACATTCTGTCAGCTCAGTGGACAGCAGATGAAATGAGAATAGACTCTAAGAGGTGGACAGGTGGAAGCAGAGAAATCTGAAGAGAGGTCAGATAAAGGTGTTGAGTGAGAATCAGATTCTGGAAACATTTTGATATTTTGAAGGCAGTTCAATAGGATTTGTGGATGAGAGAAGTCAAGAGTGCCTTTGAGGTTTTTGGCCTGAGCAATTGAAAGCATGGAGTGTGGTGAAAGAGGTGGGATCCCACACTGCTAATGAATATTTAAATTTTATAATTTTTGAAAAGCATCATGAAAATCTGTATCATGAGCCTTTAAATATTCATACTTTTTTAACCACTGGTCCTATTTAGATGGTTTTCAAAAAACGGAAAAGACTTCGTTTACAAATATGGTCATTATAATGTTTACAATAGTACAATAATAGCTTGAAAAATATGTACAATATAATAAGTAAAAACAAAGTAACGGTATCTTCATTATGATTAGAAAAATGCAAAATGTTTACAATTTTACAGGTGAATAAGTCAATCAGAATTTGCAAAAATAAAACCAATTAATTATGCAAAACCAATGAAAAAGCTATTTTTGAATAAAAATACTCATGTTTTGAAAGATTTTTATATTTATAAGGAAATTGTTTGAAGTATAATTGTGTCACCTTTATTGTAGACAATAGATGTATCCCTTAGTGACATGTTTCTTATAAGACATCTTTACCTTTGTCAAGTGGTGAAAAGTTTAACGATCTTATGTAGATTTACAAAGATTTTTAATGGCATTTTATAAATAAGCTCCTGCAGACTTCTACTTAAGAGTTCTGTTTCACCTCAACACACTCATACATGAATGTAAAATCAAGGGATTAGACTTCAAAGCCCTGCTCTGTCACTTATTCCTTGTGTAGTTTTGGTTGAGGCAGGTAACTTAAGTCTCTGTTTTTTCCATTTGCAAAATGCAGATATTGATCTCACTTCTTTCTACTTGACAAGGTGGTTGTGAATATCAAATACAATAATATATCTGAAAATGCTTTGAAAACTATACATCCCTACAGAAATGTGAGGGATTATGTTAATTTAGTTTGACATTATTTCTGCTTCAGCTTGAGGATTATATCCTTAAGTCTTTGTCATCATCTTCTGATTCCAAAAGTGATGCTTCCCTTTAAATACCAGTCAGTTATCTTTAAAGAACTAAGCAATAGTAGAAAACTATCTTTTAAAAATAAGTGTGAAATTAAAAGATGTTAATAAATCATATGCTTGTCTCATAAAGATTACTAAAATATCATAATATGGGGCATAATCTTCTTATATCCTTTCAAAGCACATTTTTAACTTGAAAAGATAAATTTAGTGAAAGTGTTAAATGAAAGTTTAAGAGCTTCAAAGAAGGACATAGCAAGACATTCAGAGTCACCTTGCCTATTTTTTGAATAGGTCTTTCTGAGCAGGTGAAATATGAAATTTATTAATAAAAGATGAAATAATCCATCTGGCCAGCAGTATATAAGAAAGTGTCCCATACATATAATGTCAGAGTCCAGGATAGAATCTTCTCATTAAGCCCCAGTACTTTTGTGAGGAGAAAGATTCATGAAAACAGTAATCCAGGTAGGATGGAAAAAATGAGTAAAATATCAGTTTTAAAATTAAAATAGTGGGGATTGTGACTCTCCTAAGAAGTAGATTTATGCAGCACATGTTCAACAATCACAAACAATAGCCAGATGAAAGGGTTTATTGGTCTGCAGGAAATCTTTGCATTCTCTCCAAAGCTGCATTTATGTTATGGGTGATAAAATTCATCAGGATAAAAATAGAATGCATTGTAAATTGAGAGAAGCCAATTACTATTTTTGAAAGGACAACACAAATTTGCCCAAAATTTATAGCTACTGCTGCAAAAGCTATACAATAAAAGCAATGTGATTATACAGTGGTTTAGCTAAAAACAAATCATCTGATGCCAGAGTAAACGGGCAGGAATAAACTGCAAATGGGAATTGGATTTGGCCCAGAGCCAAACTGTTCTGTGAAAAAAGGGGAGGAAGGCATGCTTTAAGAAGTTTTTCTCTGTTTGTTTAAAGTCTGTTTTATCAGAGACTAGGATTACAACCCCTGCCTTTTTTTGTTTTCCATTTGCTTGGTAGATCTTCCTCCATCCTTTTATTTTGAGCCTATGTGTGTCTCTGCACGTGAGATGGGTTTCCTGAATACAGCACACTGGTGGGTCTTGACACTTTATCCAATTTGCCAGTCTGTGTCTTTTAATTGGAGCATTTAGTCCATTTACATTTAAAGTTAATCTTGTTATGTGTGAATTTGATCCTGTCATTATGATGTTAGCTGGTTATTTTGCTCATTAGTTGATGCAGTTTCTTCCTAGTCTCGATGGTCTTTACATTTTGGCATGATTTTGCAGCGGCTGGTACCGGTTGTGCCTTTCCATGTTTAGCGCTTCCTTCAGGAGCTCTTTTAGGGCAGGCCTGGTGGTGACAAAATCTCTCAGCATTTGCTTGTCTGTAAAGTATTTTATTTCTCCTTCACTTAGCTTAGTAGTTTGGCTGGATATGAAATTCTGGGTTGAAAATTCTTTTCTTTAAGAATGTTGAATATTGGCCCCCACACTCTTCTGGCTTGTAGAGTTTCTGCTGACAGATCCACTGTTAGTCTGATGGGCTTCCCTTTGTGGGTAACCCGACCTTTCTCTCTGGCTGCCCTTAACATTTTTTCCTTCATTTCAACTTTGGTGAATCTGACAATTATGTGTCTTGGAGTTGTTCTTCTCGAGGAGTATCTTTGTGGTGTTCTCTGTGTTTCCTGAATCTGAAAGTTGGCCTGCCTTGCTAGATTGGGGAAGTTCTCCTGGATAATATCCTGCAGAATGTTTCCCAACTTGGTTCCATTCCTCCCCATCACTTTCAGGTATACCAATCAGACACAGATTTGGTCTTTTCACATAGTCCCATATTTCTTGGAGGCTTTGTTCATTTCTTTTTATTCCTTTTTCTCTAAACTTCCCTTCTCGCTTCATTTCATTCATTTCATCTTCCATCAATGATACCCTTTCTTCCAGTTGATCGCATTGGGTCCTGAGGCTTCTGCATTCAAATCAGTGTGTAGAGGGAAATTTATAGCACTAAATGCCCACAAGAGAAAGCAGGAAAGATCCAAAATTGACACCCTAACATCACAATTAAAAGAACTAGAAAAGCAAGAGCAAACACATTCAAAAGCTAGCAGAAGGCAAGAAATAACTAAAATCAGAGCATAACTGAAGGAAATAGAGACACAAAAAACCCTTCAAAAAATTAATGAATCCAGGAGCTGGTTTTTTGAAAGGATCAACAAAATTGATAGACCACTAGCGAGACTAATAAGGAAGAAAAGAGAGAAGAATCAAATAGAAGCAATAAAAAATGATAAAGGGCATATCAACACCGATCCCACAGAAATACAAACTACCATCAGAGAATACTACAAAATCCTCTATGCAAATAAACTAGAAAATGTAGAAGAAATGGATAAATTCCTCGACACATACACCCTCCCAAGACTAAACCAGGAAGAAGTTGAATCTCTGAATAGACCAATAACAGGATCTGAAATTGTGGCAATAATCAATAGCTTACCAACCAAAAAGAGTCCAGGACCAGATGGATTCACAGCCGAATTCTACCAGAGGTACAAGGAGGAACTGGTACCATTCCTTCTGAAACTATTCCAATCAATAGAAAAAGAGAGCATCCTCCCTAACTCATTTTATGAGGCCAGCATCATCCTGATACCAAAGCCGGGCAGAGACACAACAAAAAAAGAGAATTTTAGACCAATATCCTTGATGAACATTGATGCAAAAATCCTCAATAAAATACTGGCAAACCGAATCCAGCAGCACATCAAAAAGCTTATCCACCATGATCGAGTGGACTTCATCCCTGGGATGCAAGGCTGGTTCAATATATGCAAATCAATCAATGTAATCCAGCATATAAACAGAACCAAAGACAAAAACCACAGGATTATCTCAATAGATGCAGAAAAGGCCTTTGACAAAATTCAACAACCCTTCATGCTAAAAACTCTCAATAAATTAGGTATTGATGGGACATATATCAAAATAATAAGAGCTATCTATGACAAACCCACAGCCAATATCATACTGAATGGGCAAAAACTGGAAGCATTCCCTTTGAAAACTGGCACAAGACAGGGATGCCCTGTCTCACCACTCCTATTCAACATAGTGTTGGAAGTTCTGGCCAGGGCAATTAGGCAGGAGAAAGAAATAAAGTGTATTCAATTAGGAAAAGAGGAAGTCAAATTGTCCCTGTTTGCAGAAGACATGATTGTATATCTAGAAAACCCCATTGTCTCAGCCCAAAATCCCCTTAAGCTGATAAGCAACTTCAGCAAAGTCTCAGGATACAAAATCAATGTACAAAAATCACAAGCATTCTTATACACCAATAACAGACAGAGAGCCAAATCATGAGTGAACTCCCATTCACAATTGCTTCAAAGAGAATAAAATGCTTAGGAATCCAACTTACAAGGGATGTGAAGGAACTCTTCAAGGAGAAATACAAACCATTGCTCAATGAAATAAAAGAGGATACAAACAAATGGAAGAAAATTCCATGCTCATGGGTAGAAAGAATCAATATCGTGAAAATGGCCATACTGCCCAAGGTAATTTACAGATTCAATGCCATCCCCATCAAGCTACCAATGACTTTCTTCACAGAATTGGAAAAAACTACTTTAAAGTTCATACGGAACCAAAAAAGAGCCCGCATCACCAAGTCAATCCTAAGCCAAAAGAACAAAGCTGGAGGCATCACACTACCTGACTTCAAACTATACTACAAGGCTACAGTAACCAAAACAGTATGGTACTGCTACCAAAACAGAGATATAGATCAATAGAACAGAACAGAGCCCTCAGAAATAATGCCGCATATCTACAACTATCTGATCTTTGACAAACCTGACAAAAACAAGCAATGGGGAAAGGATTGCCTATTTAATAAATGGTGCTGGGAAAACTGGCTAGCCATATGTAGAAAGCTGAAACTGGATCCCTTCCTTACACCTTATACAAAAATTAATTCAAGATGGATTAAAGACTTAAACGTTAGACCTAAAACCATAAAAACCCTAGAAGAAAACCTAGGCATTACCATTCAGGACATAGGCATGGGCAAGGACTTCATGTCTAAAACACCAAAAGCAATGGCAACAAAAGCCAAAATTGACAAATGGGATCTAATTAAACTAAAGAGCTTCTGCACAGCAAAAGAAACTACCATCACAGTGAACAGGCAACCTACAAAATGGGAGAAAATTTTTGCCACCTACTCATCTGACAAAGGGCTAATATCCAGAATCTACAATGAACTCAAACAAATTTACAAGAAAAAAACAAACAACCCCATCAAAAATTGGGCAAAGGACATGAACAGACACTTCTCAAAAGAAGACATTTATGCAGCCAAAAGACACATGAAAAAATGCTCATCATCACTGGCCATCAGAGAAATGCAAATCAAAACCACAATGAGATACCATCTCACACCAGTTAGAATGGCTATCATTAAAAAGTCAGGAAACAACAGGTGCTGGAGAGGATGTGGAGAAATAGGAACACTTTTACACTGGTGGTGGGACTGTAAACTAGTTCAACCATTGTGGAAGTCAGTGTGGTGATTCCTCAGGGATCTAGAAGTAGAAATACCATTTGACCCAGCCATCCCATTACTGGGTATATACCCAAAGGATTATAAATCATGCTGCTATAAAGACACATGCACACGTATGTTTATTGCGGCACTACTCACAATAGCAAAGACTTGGAACCAACCCAAATGTCCAACAATGATAGACTGGATTAAGAAAATGTTGCACATATATACCATAGAATACTATGCAGCCATAAAAAATGATAAGTTCACATCCTTTGTAGGGACATGGATGAAATTGGAAATCATCATTCTCAGTAAACCATCACAAGAACAAAAAACCAAACACCGCATGTTCTCACTCATAGATGGGAATTGAACAATGAGAACACATGGACACAGGAAGGGAAACATCACACTCTGGGGACTGTTGTGGGGTGGGTGGAGGGGGGAGGGATAGCATTAGGAGATATACCTAATGCTAAATGACGAGTTAATGGGTGCAGCACACCAGCATGGCACATGTATACATATGTAACTAACCTGCATATTGTGCACATGTACCCTAAAACTTAAAGTATAATAATAATAATAAAAAAGAAGTTTTTCTCCATTCCAGACTGCAGCTCTTATTCCTTCCTTAATTATGTGCATCTAAGTTTCTCTGCAGTGGTTTCTGAGCAAACGAAATATATCTGCCAAGAAAGTAGGTGACTTGACTTCTTTGAATCTTACATATAAAATGAAAAAGTAGAAGATATCAGAAATCCTTTCCAACTCTTAAAAAATTTTTGTTTACTTCTAGCACTCTTGTCATCTAGCTTTATATACCAACTTTAGAAGGTCTGACTTCTAGTATTTTTATTAGAGGCTGTTAAGTTGATAGTTCTGTAGGATTATTTATTGCCTTTTAATATTTTAACTTTCTTCTTTATTATCTCTTGTGTTGGATCATTTATGCCCGTTAGCCTACATCTTCTTTTCCTTGGCCTAATCCCTCATTTTGCTAGGAAATATTCCTCAATAGGGCCCTGGTGGAAAAAAAAAATGGGTGGAGGAAAACATTGAGTTCCGCATATCTGACAATGACTGTATTCACCCCTCATTCTGAATTGATTGATTAATTTCAGAAGTCTAGGCTGAAATGCATTTGTCTCAGAATTTTGAAAGCATTTCTTTGCAGTCTTTTCACTGTCCTATTGTCATCTGCTTCTTGTTTGCAAGCATTGTTTTTTTCCTCTCTCAAAGCTTTCAAGATCTCTTTATCCCCAGAGTGCTACAGGGTGCTTTTTAAAGGTTTATTTATTTAGTTTTTTTTATTGTACCTGTTCAATCTGGTCATTCATTCTCTTCAGTTCTTAGAAACTTATTATGTACCTTACAACTTTCTCCCCATGGTTCTCTCTGGTCTCTCTGGAACACCTGTAGATTACGTGATAGGTCTCCTAGTGATTCTTTAATTTTCCGATCTTCTGTCTTCCATTTCCCACCTCTGTTTCCTTGTTTTACTTTCTGGGATGTTCCCCTCAACTTTATTTTCTAAGTCTGCCATTGAATTCTTTATTTCTGCCATCTCTTTGTTCATATCCAAGAACTCTTTTTTGTTCTCTGAACGTTCTCTTTCAGAATCTCCTGTATTTTTTTTCACAAATGCACTGTATCTTTTCATTTCTCTAAAGACCTTAATTTAATTTTTATATGCTGAATATTTTCTTTGGATTTTTTTTCTTTTCTTTTGAGCTTCTCATAACTATTCATTTGTCATGGTCCTCCTCATTCATATTGGAGGCTTTCCTAAAGGGTTCAGGGAACCTTGGATATCTGTTCCTATTTAAGATAGAGGCATTCAAAACTGACTGGAAGCTGTTTGTATATTTGGTGGAATTTATTAAGGGTTGTTTTGTGACTGTGTGGAACCATTTATTCCCCTGAGGGATTCAAAATGGCCAGTTGGTGTGAGGACCCTCACTTGATCAGCTGGCGGTTTCCTCAGGAGGGGTCTCTCTAACTTCTGACGGGCATGGGGACAGAGTACACTGGGACAGACTTGTTGGCCAGCTGGCCCTCGGAGCTGAGTCAGGGGAAGGAGGCTGGGTGGCAGGAAGGGATCTCATTTTTAAAATCTGTTTGAAGAATGACATCCCTCTCTCAGCTGCACCTGGTATGTCCTGAGTCCCTGGGACTGACCCACAGTCCCTGCCTAAGTAAGAGAGGCAGCTGGACAGTGTCCGATGCTCTTTCTACAGATTTTCAATAAACTCTGTCTTCAATCTTTCTTCCATATCTGTCTTCAAAAGCATCTTTCATCTCTAATTCCTGAATTGTTTTAATGCTTAATGGCATGGATTTTCATGATAATTCTTCAGCTTTCTTAATTAAGGTGTTTTCCAAATCTTGTTGGCATCTCTTCACTTCTGTCATCTTCTTTTTGTGTGTTTATTTTTCTCTTTTCTGTCATTTTTGTAGAGTGCTTTTTGGGGCAACAGAGTAAATCTGTGTGTTTTTCCTTTTATGTCGAAGCATAAATCACACAAATTCTAGATGATGAAACAAGTAAATAAACAATCTACCTCCTAGATCTCAGCAATTAGCTCAATAGAAGCAGATTTTTCTCTATGTAATTGCCTAAGTGGATGTCCCTGCTTTTTGTACATCTTTCCTCTATGTGAGAATCCAGGGACACAGGCACCTTCCACTTTATGGCTCATCTATCTCCTAGGGACTGCTGGTCTTTTGTATCAAGCTGGCTGAAGTAAAAGTAAACATTGGGAATCTATATTGGCTTCTTCAAAACCTCAGCCTGCAATCACAGGCATTGTTTCTTTTCCCATCCATCAATAAAAACTGGTCACATGGCCACATAAAAGGGAAATGTTGGCTGCCACGGGACCACAATGTTTTGCCTGCCAGTTAAACATCTGCTTCAGAGCCTTCCCCTCTGGCTACCAAACGCTTATTGGTACCCTTTTTTCTACATATAGCAGATTTACTCCCTTCTCCAGGAGGATCATCCCAATTCTCAATTTTCTTCCTTTATCTGTCTTAAAATTCAGTAGCTTTGACAATATCAATCACCTTCATCAGATCCAGAGGTGGCTCCCCAAGACCTGATGTTACCTTATCTCTTAACACCACACTATGCACTCACATATACCATGTACAGTGGCTGAGTGCAGGCACCTACTTTAGAAAAGGGAGAACTGGTGAACACAGTAATTTCTGTAGCAATGGTGGGATCCTGTTGGGTAGGATTCAGCCAAAAGAGGAAGTTCCTGATTTAGGTACTCACCCTTAAGTTTGGGGGGAACTCTTGTTTATTCATCTCCATGACCACCAGCACCATCCTCTTGTCTATTATCTCCCATGGGCACTCTTGAAAATTGATATTGATGAGCATACTATACTTTGTATTTGCTCAAGGCACCAGCCAGTGTCCAGTCATTCAAGTTTCGTTGGGCAGTGGGGGTAATGGTGGTGGTGGGGAACTCCCAAAAGCTGTTTGAAAGCCCTAACAGTCTAAGGCTGTTTGATGATATGCTTGTGGTTTCTTTGACCAAGCATCTGCTTTTGTTTGTTTCTAAACAATTCCATTGCCAGGAATTCTCCCCACCTCCCAAAATACTTTCCTCAATATAATTCTGTAATACCCATTATTTCTTTGATTCTTAGTACTTAAGCCTTTTTCCCATTGTAATGGTGGCTATCTGGAACCTGTCTGCAATGATTACAATGTCTTGCAAGGATTACAAGACAACACCCTCAATTAACTGTTTTTCATAAGGCTAAACTCTGTTCAACTGAAAAGTCTTAACAGGTTTTTGTTTTTCAAAGTCCTTTTAAATGTTATCTTCTGCCTACTGGAGGTTTGAAAGTACTCAGTACTCAGATTTTATAAACTTCCCTGCCCCTTGCCTCCCAAAACAGCTAATTCTTGTCTGAACTCATCTCTTTCTTCCAACGCCTTGCTAAATCCAGGGATTGTCATCCAGCACAGTATCTGCTGTGTTGCTGCTTTTCAAACCTCTTTTGAAAGCAAATTCTGTTTTTTTTGTCCTTGCGATAGTTTACTGAGAATGATGAAAAAACCAAACACCGCATGTTCTCACTCATAGATGGGAATTGAACAATGAGAACACATGGACACAGGAAGGGGAACAACACACTCTGGGGACTGTTGTGGGGTGGGGGAAGGGGGAGGGATAGCATTAGGAGATATACCTAATGCTAAATGATGAGTTAATGGGTGCAGCACACCAGCATGGCACATGTATACATATGTAACTAACCGGCACATTGTGCACATGTACCCTAAAACTTAAAGTATAATAATAATAATAATAAAAAAGAAAGCAAATTCTGTGCTGGTTAAGCTATCTGCTGTGATAAATGGACCTCCAAATTTTAGTGGCTTAACACAGGTAGAAATTCATTTCTCGTTTATGAAAGTGTTCCTGGCTGGTGATGACTTTTCTCCATGAGGTGTTTAAGAATCCCTGGCTCCTTCCATTGGTTCAGCCCGTTCTCTGGAGTCAGCCAGCAGACATGGAAGAGCACGTGGAAAAAGCTTGTCTGCTTCATAAATGTCTGTGAGAGAGCAATACACACATTTCCACTTCCCCTCTGTTGGTAAGAACCAGAGATGAGGCCCCATGTAGATAGATGTGAGTGCTCCTGATAAATGACTTTGCACCTGCTTGTCTGTAGCAGCTCCATAATGTGGAAGGGCAGGGAAGATTTTTGGTAAGTGGCTGGCTGTCTCTACCACATTCATGGAGAAGAAGCAGAGAAAAATTGTCTGCCACATTGAGATATTTTTCTATCATTTGATTTCAGTTCTAGTATCAAAAAATTTCAGTTTCAGAATTCTTTCTATCTTCGAAAGGCTTCACACTTTACTGGCACCAAGAAAGATGTTTTCTTATCTACACTGCCACCTCTGACTCCCTGGTTCAAGGGATTCTCCTGCCTCAGCCTCCCAAGTAGGCTGGGATTACAGGCATGCGCCACCACACCCAGCTAATTTTTGTATTTTTAGTGGAGACGGGGTTTTGTCATGTTGGCCAGGATGGTCTCCATCTCCTGACCTCGTGATCCGCCAGTATTGGCTTCCCAAAGTGCTGGGATTACAGGCTTGAGCCACAGCGCCTGGCCTTTCCTATTAAAAAAAATTATTTGTGTTGCCTAACTCAATAAGAACTTTTTTTTTCTCCTATTGTATTAGTTGTAAATGAGGTGATTTGTTTTAATGCTGGAAAACTTAGTCATAGATGATGATCTTCAGATCTTCAGCTCCTGACACTTCCTCCTTTCTTTGGGAATGGTTTTTATAATACGTGACCTGACCTTTGACCTCAGTTAATTGAGCTAGGACTGGGGATTTGATACAAACTGGGCCACATATTCTCTTTTAAAAGGTGAAAATATAAAAACAGCGAGGCTTTTGCTTTGTGATTCTGATTCATTAGAGCTGAATCACTTTAGTGGTAACTTTCTAGCAATAAACCTGTCCTTGAAATCCTGCACTGAGATTCCCGGAGGTACCTTAATTCCTTTTTTTCCTAAATCTTTTTTGTTCAATTTCTTCTGCAACATCTTGAGAAATGGTGGCATTCTTTCAATAGATTCTCACTACACTTCTTCTAGGCAGAGTCAGTGTCTGTTGTCTAACAACAACCAAAAGACACTTAATTAGTACCCCAGGGAAGGCAGATTTATTGTGTTATTTTCAATATCTCTTCAATATCCTTTGGTGTTTTGAAGATTTTTTTCTCAATAATTCTTATGTTAATGGTTTAGATTGAAGGCCTTATCCTCTGGAGTATAAGTCTTTTCAAAGTCCAAGAAGTGATTTCTTACACCTAGATAAATGTCGTCAGCCACTATAACCATTCAGTTGGTTATAAGCCAGGTTCTCCAGAAACACAAGCTGCTGCAAATAGTCACTGGCACTCTAGGAAGATGAAATGGCCATTTGAGGCAAATGTGCCTCTCTTTCACAAGAGCCTGTTTCCATCTGACAAGCCTGACGGTGCCTTTCAACCTAGATGAATCAGCAGTTTCCAGCATTGTCTACTTGATTTGTAGATGGGCTTGTTTGCATTTCATGAATCTCTGATTTGACTTGTCCTGTGAAGAAGAACGGGCATAGCACAGTGAGATGCAGAATGTGGGCACGACTGCTTATCTGCCTTGGAAGTTCACAGTGGGGTGATGCTTTTAACTTCTTTTGGGCTGCTTTCTCCTGAGTAGAGTGAAGCTCACTCACATTCTGCCTGTCTTTTTGGCAATAACACAGTGGTCATAGGAAAATATATGTAACAACAGTTTCCCAGGATACTGGCATTATTGAGAGTAAATATCTTGCTCAAGGTCATGTAGTAGGTAAATGATAGAAATGAATTTTCACTCATCTGCAAGATTTCAGAGCTAAATTTTAAGATCTCTCTATAGGCAACCTTTTTTTGTAAAGCTGATTTTTTCTGTTTTGCAGAGATGGAGTTTCACTGTGTTGACCATACTAGTCTTGAACTCTTGGTCTCAAGCAATCTTTTCACATTGGCCTGGGATTGTAGGCATGCACCACTGTGCCAGACCTATATACAAACTTTTATGTACTAGACACTTAAAGAGATGCTGGACAATTTAAGATAAAAATTTTTTGAAAACTTTGCTCTTTGTCCTTAAAAATCTTACGATCTATCAGTAATTAGATGATATCATTATAATATGTAAAATAAACACAAGAGAGGTATGCATGGGGACTATGAGAATGTGGGAAAGAATCCTGGATCTCAACATGGAGGTTAAGGAATGATTTTGGTTGAGAGAACCCTTGAGCAAAGACTTAATGAATAATTAAATGTTGGCAGTGCACAGATATGGGAGAAATGAGAAAGGCCCTCTAAGTAGCAGGAACATCATAAGCAAAGATACGGAGGCATGTTATTTTCTGGTCACAAAATATTGAGTACAGACCAGGAAGGAATGGAAGGTTATATTTGATATGTTGGTATTGATCATTTAGTGGAGAATTGAGTATACCTAATCTAGCTGTTTGGATTTAAGGGGAGCGTACTGTAGTAAACAGGAGCATAGGTTCTGGAACCAGTTTGCCTGAGTTTGGATCCTGGCTCTGTGTGCTTTTGAGTAAATTCCTTGACCTCAATGTACCTCAGTTTACTAATCTGTAAAAAGGACACAATAGGCTGGGCGCGGTGCCTCACGCCTGTAATCCCAGCACTTTGGGAGGCCGAGGTGGGCGGATCATGAGGTCAGGAGATCGAGACCATCCTGGCTAACACGGTGAAACCCCGTCTCTACTAAAAATAAAAAAAATTAGCTGGGCATGGTGGCGGGCACCTGTAGTCCCAGCCACCCGGGAGGCTGAGGCAGGAGAATGGTGTGTACCCGGGAGGTGGAGCTTGCAGTGAGCCAAGATCGTGCCACTGCACTCCAGCCTGGGGGACAGAGGGAGACTCCATCTCAAAAAAAAAAAAAAAAAAAAAAAAGGACACAATAATATTACTGTTATAAAGATTAAATTAATGTTTTTAGAATACGTAGTACAGTGCCTGGAAATTAGTGCTATATAATATTTTTTATTTCAATAAAATTAGCAGAAATTATGTGGAATGAGAGAAAAGTCTTGAATGACATCAAGGTTTCTGGGTTTTTTGATAGATGATGCTGCCATTTCCTAAAATGAAAAATGTAGTAAGAGAAGCAGGATTTGTCAAGGAACATAAAGGGTTTGGGTATTTAAAGTTGATTTTGATAATCTTGTGAGTCATCCACTTGAACAGAGTCTACAAACAATGACTTTACCAACCTGAAGTTCAGACGTAAATTTAGTAATAGAGAAATCCTCATCTAGATATTGATGAGACAATGATGGTAAGCAAGATAATCCAAAATAAGTATGTGCAGAAGACATGGTGGAATAAAGATAGAGCTCTGGGAAGTACAGCCTTGAAGCCGTGGATGGCACAATGTAGCTCACAACCAGAGATGGACAGAGCCTTGTGAAGGACATGGGGAAGAAGCAATGCTACCAAAGGCAAGAGAATCAACAGTTTCAATGAGAACATGGTAACCAGTGTAGAATACAACTGAGAGGATCAGTAAGATAGGACTGAGAAATGTCTTCAGGATTTGGCAGTATGAAGGCCATTATATGAGGCACTGCAATTCAATGACATGAGTCTCAAAGAATTCAAGATTTTTACAGGAGAGTGAAAGAGTGCCATTAATGAGAGAGTGCCCTCTGACCTTGAAAAATGTAAGATGTGCAAAATAAATTGTAGTTGAGAAGACTGGAGGCAAAATGGTAGAGAGAAGGAGAGTTTGTCTACTTGGGAACAGAGATTCTAGGTGGCATAGGAGAAGTTTTGGTAGTGGGAACTTTGGAAAATTGATTATGGAAGAGCAAGCAGGCATTAGTATGGGGAAGAGATAGGCAAAAGAGATCAATGCCTGGAGGGGCTTACATCTCAGGGATCAATAATGTTAGGGATGTTTATCATCCCGGGATTAATGTTGCAAGGTTATTCACAGCAATTTACTCTTGGTTGGGGTGAGGTAGGAGTTGGTGAAGGAAGTCTTACCTCTCTGGAGTGTGTCAGTTCTTTCAACTATTACTATAAATGCCATCAAAGTTTTATCTGTGCCTCATTTTCATTTCCCAGTTTTATTTTAAGCTTACAACAATAACTCCAGGAAGAGCAGGAATTCTTTTTTTTTGTTTGTTTTGATTTGGAATCAGAAACACTGAAGTTCAGGGCAGTCAAATGCTTGATGTAAGGTCATGCAGCTTGGGCAAGAGCTGGGACATAATATAAGGATTTGGACTCAGAGTACAGTGTTTTTTTCCTAATACAGCATGGAAGCTATTCCATGAATTGGACATTAAAAGTAAGGTCTCCACATCACATATTCTGAGTGAGATTGGGAGGAAAAAGATACTTTCCTACAATTTGGATCACAGCATCATGTAGTAAAAGTTTCCTAAAAGGCAATTGGCCTTTATATGAACATGATTATTTACCCAGAACTTTCATTATCAGAGGTTTGTATGAAGATTTATATGTAATCATAATATAATGTATACATAATGTACCATGTATATATACTAGAGATATACATGTATGTAAATATATATTTATATATATTGTATTTCTACTCTAAAATTTTTTCCACACACATCATTACATATAATTTATATATTTTTAAAAAATAGACTTCATATTTTAGAGAAATTTTAGATTTACTGCAAATTTGAGCAGAAAGTACAGAGCGTTCCCACATACCACCTCCCCCCGGACATGCACAACTTCCCTCACAGTTAACATCGCACACCAGAGGGGTACATTTGTTAGAATGAATGAACCAACATTGACACATCATTATCACACAAAGTCACACAATGTTTATAACAATGTTAGGGTTCATTTTTGGTAATGAGCATTTTATGGGCTTTGATAAATGTATAATGACGTGTATCCATCATGATAGTATCATACAGAATAATTTCACTGTCCTCAGAAACAGGTATTTTAGTGCTATTTATCATAGGAAAATTTTAAAACAATCTAAACATAGAACATTGGGTGATAGGGTACATATTTTATTATATGATATAATACTATGCAGCCATTAAAAGGACACTTAACAGAATATCTGGTAACATGAGAACACCTTTTAAATATGTTATTAAATGAAAAAGGAATTAGGTTGTGAAATATACAATACAATATCAGTTTTTATACACATACATGCATACATACAAACATAGTTTAGACAAAAGACTGGAAATGTATACATCAAAGTGTAAAAGACTATTACAATAAGTCTGTAATAAATAGTTCCACTAAAAATGTTTTGGTGTTTTGGATTACTTTAAGAGAGAATCTAAAAGTGGGATGACTGAATTAAAGGGAATGACAGCTTCATCCTTATGTTTACTTAGTATTTTTTATTTTCTTTCCAATTGGATTGTATATTCCTTGACGATAAGTCCAAATCTTATTCGTGGATGAGTTATCTTCATCACTGAAAAAGTAGCTTGTGTGTCGTAGATATAAGGGCCATTGCTTCAACTTTCCCGAGGTTGGCTCCACTTCTCCATAGAGGTAATTGACAATTTATATCTCTATTATTGGTGTCTGGTCTATAATAGATGCTCAAAACCTGTTGAATGAATGAATGATCCTAGCTTAAGACTTCGTTCAACTGTGTTTACTGTGATCAGGACCATGAGCCTATGCCCCTTCTCTTCAACTTGATTGCTTCTAGGAGCCAGGTGGATACGTTGAGCCTGGTAAAACTTTAGGGGATGGGCTATTTCTTTAAATTTCCTCTCTTGATGTTTGCCTGAGTTAGACAATCATCGCCATGAATTCATTTATTATGGGACTGGCCAAAAGATTTGAATTTAGACTTAGGAAAAAGTAAAGGTCCTGCATTAGATTCTGGCCTGGGCTGCCGGCACTAAACTATCTTTTACCAGAAAGCTCTGTACAGTCATGCACCAAAAAATGACCTTATAGTCGATGATGGACACCTTATATGATGATGGTCCCATAAGGTTATAAGACTGTAGTTTCACTGTACCTTTAATATGCTTAGATATGTTTAGATACATGAATACTTACCATTAAGTTGTTATTGCCTACAGTATTCAGTACAGTTACGTGCTTTATAGGTTTGTAGCCTAGGAGCAATAAGTTATACCATATAGCCTAGGGGTGAGGTAGACTATACCATCTAGGGTTGTGTAAGTGCATTCTGATGTTTGCATAATGATGAAATCACCCAACAACACATTTCTCCAAATTTATCCCTGTTGTTAGGTGACACATGCCTGTATTAGGGAATTAGACTGTGACTCAAGTTATGACAAAATGGTATTTTTTTCACATTGGTCACTGCCTGTGTGTGGTGTGTTTCTACATCTCTTAGGAAGCATGAAGAGAGAGAGTAGAGATTTTGTGGGGGCAAGATCAAGGCATTGTCTGGCACTGGTTGCAGTAGCATAAATCTCATTTCTAACAGAAATCATGAAAAAACACTATTGGATTTAATACATTTGAATCCAGACAAATTTAGGATAGGAGTAAGTCAGACATCACTATGAATCTGTTTGGAGGGTTATCTAGGGTATATGCAGACGTCAGCAAAATTTATTTTAGAACAAGTTTTGTTTTACCATGTTTTGGAGAACATCCAAGTTCGACAGAAAAACAAAATGCTGAACTAAATTAGTGCCGCAATTGAACAGTTTATATGTCAATTACCATCAAAATAATGTTTCAGCCTGTTTCCATTTTGATTCTTCCACTGGTAGCATAAAACTTCATGTTGTGGTTCTCCTCCAATGCACTCCTTTGAGTATGGTCTTGCAAACTCTGGATGGCTTTGTCTTTTCATGAAATTTCACACACTATGGAGTTTGCTTCAACATGGGTTGCTTCGCTGTTTATTGCATCAACAATAAAAGAAAACATATTTCTCTTAGAAGGATTGCCACCTTTTTGCACACTAGTTTATAGAAAGAGTAGATTGGGAAAGATAAAAACAGGATGTGCAGCAGAGGATTGGCCTGTTTTAGCTCCCATGACTTTCCCTTATGCTACTATAGCTCGGCTGGCCCCTCAAGTGTAGTTAGTAGTGAAGAAGCGCAGAGTGTGCCAGGCAAGGGGACTTTGAAATCAAATCTACAAGAGCTGAGAAATGAGCTTGATCATGTGAGGAGGAGGACAAAGAGACTGAAGAAGGAAAGATGTGATGTTTTGAAGAAAATTGTATTTTTCTCTCTGTCTGTCTGTCTGTCTCTCTCTCTGCTAAAAGTGTGAAAATATCCTTCTTATATTGAAGCTTCAAGAGGGGTATGGCAGAAAGGAAAATACTAGTGAGGTAATGTTCAATTTTGACTATTAAATTTAACATTTTTGAAAATGTTATCAACACTGAAAATTCTGATCAAATTTCCTCTATATTTTGATACAGGAATTTTCTTGCTTCCATTTTCACACCAATGTTTAAGATGCTTATTGACCATTTCTTTTCAAAAGTATTGAGAGTTTTTTTTTAACCAATAATCAACAATTAAAGATAGATTATATATATTTTTTCTCTTAGATGCTGTTTTGCTATCACAGCAAATTCTGAAATCTGTGATGGTTACCAAAGAAGGAACAGAGGAATAGTAATTAATCCTTTGTTACACAATCCCCAGTGCACAAGAATTTTAACATAAACATGTAGATAATGTTTTGATAGGTGTACATATTTAGAAGACCATATAGAGTAAATCCAACTCTCTTCTACAATATAAGCTAAGTGATATTTCCAAACAAATTTAATATATTTAAAAAATTGACATGTTTCATTTTGTTCAGTAATAAAGCACCAAGAGGAGCATATTTGTGGGTGACTGTGTGTGTGCGTGTGTGTGTGTGTGTGCGCGTGCACGAGAGAGAGGGAGAGGTTTTTCATAAATGAAGAGTTAATGGATTTCTCTTTATTTTCAATTTAAATGCTAACTAGATAAAAATCTGAATGAACCCAGAAAAAATTAGTACAATTAATTAGACCCTGAGAAAAAGTTTTATAGAATCCTCCTTCCTTTGCCACAAATATCTTTAATTAAATTTGACCTAATGAACTTTTGTTGGGGCATACCATATGCAATGTGCCTTGGCTAGAAGCTAAGCACAAAGTCAACATTCAATGTGTTCACTCTCAAATTAGGATTGCTGACAGATTTGTATAAAATCAACTTTTCATTTCATCCATTGCTTCTGGAAGTCTTAAGTAGCATATCTCTATCTATTGGATCTACTACCCAGGTTACAGTTAGAATATAATACATAATAAAAACTAAACATTTCTTTTTTATTTAATAATTTGGATTGACTTGTTTAGTAATTTGGAATTTCCATTGTAAAGTGAATTATTATATCTTCCAAAAAGAAAGGAAAAAAGCCTAAAATAATCTGTGTCAACCTCTTGGCTCAATCATTCTGACTGATGAAAAAAATATTTTGACTATTCACTTCAGTGAAAGTCCTCTAGCAACTTGACATTTGTGTATAAACAAGTAGTTTTGAACATTAACTAAGTACATAATACTGCTGGACACTGCAGATAAAATTAGAAATAGTATCAACAGAAACTTAGGGAAGTATTTAATCACCAAAACTTGCTTGAAATTCATATAAAATTTGTCAAGTATCAGTGAGATTCTAATAATAATACTAAACAATGCTCTAAAACATTTATGTAGTTTTGTAAATTAGTCCTTTCAGGTGAGTCTAGCCTAGGAATAGCTATTGCCTATGTTTGAAAATTGAGGAATTCTTCAGATACGTATTTGTATATATCTGTCTTACCAAGAATCATAGTCCACTATTAAAACCAGATTATTTCTCATTATCAGTTTAATTTCACAAATACGTACTGGACACCAATTATTTACCAGCCACTGTGGTAGACATCAGGGTACTCAGGAATTACTTAAGGGTCCAAGAAAATTGTTGAATTTTGAGAGTGTTTAAAGTGATCATATGCCTTATGAGAGGATGTAAATACTTTTATCTGAGAACAAGAGGGAGGTAGGGGTTCTGCCATGGTTGTTAGGAGGATAACAGAAAACCAGAGAGGGAGTTTTTAGATTACACAGCTAAATCTAATATCCCAAAGGAAATGTGGCAAAGTATCCCATTTTGTTTAATACAGTGACTTCATATGCTATATTTATGAGTCCAATAATCTGCAAATTAAAGAAGCTGTAAACAAAACCTTCTCCTACCTTTGGCAGTTCTGATATGGATTATAAACTTTTTATATCATCTAATTTTAAAAAAGAAACAATATAATTACTTGATTATTAATTATCAAAAACTCAATAAGATAACAGAATGACAATTGTCTCTTAACATTATACCATCACTAAATTTAATCTGTAATAATAGACTACTAGAGGTAAAATCATTCATATATAGACTATTAGAGGTAAAATTAATCATATTCATTAAATTTGACTTTGAATTTATAGTTGATTTGTAACAGTAAGGTCATTTTTACTTCATTTGTTTCTTCAAACTCTGTTGCATAACTTCCAGTTCATCTTAAAGACATCAGTTCCATATATATAAAAAAAGGAAAGTCATGCATTTTTCAATAGCAATGCAGCTATATTAGGTATTCTGGCTTTGGTTGTTTACATTCTAAGAAAACCTACCAATTTCTCTGAATTGTCTCAGCCAAATTGAAAAGTCTTAAAGTATTAAAAATAAGATACCAAAAAAAACCCTTCTTATATTGAAGCTTCAGCTTTCAAACTAATATGTTTTTGCTTCTTTTCTTAAAAGAAAATAAATCTGGAAATATATGTGTGAGACCACCACAGGTAAGTTTTCTCCTATTGGGTGACTAACATGCATTTTATTAGCTCTGTAAATATGAATTTACATTATAGATGCTAATGATTTTGAGGAATTTGTTAAGACCTAACAGATCAATGATCCATAATTGTTAAATTTTTTAAACATATATTTGCATAATTTACCTTTCAAAAATTTCATAAATGCATATTTATAGGATAGACTAGGGTTTCATATTTTATTTGCCAACTCTATGCTTCATAGTATAAAAGCCACATTAATTTATCGGTTCTTGCATATAGCTCTGGGGATGTTTGTGACTGTAGTAAATTTTTCATTAGTCAGAAATCAGCTAGCTGGAAAAAACTTCAAATATTTAGATTCTCCCACTTATGGGCATGTTGTACATAATAATTTTATAAGAAGTGAGTCAGTAAATATGTATTTTATACCTACCTACCTGATATGTGCTAAGCACTGTGTTGGAAACTGTAGATGCAAAATAAATAAGGCATTGACTCTCCCTTTGCCAAACTGTCATTTAGTTGGCAAGTACAATAGATGAACTGATAATTATAATGCAGTTTTATTTTCTAAAATCTATTTAGGAGAAAAATGGATATCTTAAGTAGGTTCATTGAAATAAGATCTTTATTTAAAAATTGGTTTCTAAGGTGTGTTCTAACATCACAAAAGCTTTTGCCCTTTTTTGGACACTTACATATGTCCATCTATCATACTCCATTGTGAAAATTGCCATCCAGAGCAGTGACCTGAAATTGCAGTAGAAGTCTAACACAATGTGTATTCTCTTTCACTGGTTGTTGTAAGCATGCTCACTTTTTTCTTTTTCCCCCATACTGTTTTCACATGTCTTCAGAGTTTAAAGCATGGCTTAACTGCTGTGGTGTTCAGATCAAATCACTTCAGTTCAATTCAGCGAGTATAGTGTGGTTCTGATTAACTTAGTTCAACTTCCCATGGTCTACAGTGAGCAGCATTTGTCTTCAGTTCTTTGTCAGTTTCTTATTTTATGAATTGTCCTCATAATATATTTATGTTTAACTTAAGCAACCATTGACCTTCTTCTTCTTTACAAATGTTCAGTTTTTGTGGAATTTTCTTTATTAAGACAGTGTTCTAGAAATTCTTTTTATAACCCTATATATATAACCCTATATATATATTTTTTATAACCATATATATATATTAGAGACTCTGAAGAGAGCACATTATGGTCAACATAATTTAAAATTATTCATTGGTTTCTTAATAATCCAACAATTTTACTTACTTCCAAATATCGAACTTCTTTGTCTTGTTTCCTCCCTACTTTCACTCTATTTTCAAATTCTAGTTCTAAGCAGTGGAATCTTCCAGTGCCTTAATTTGATTATGGATAATTTCTTGTTTAACAAGTGCTATTGTAATAACTTTAATTTCAAACTATGTTAAATATGTACAGTTCAATTCACCTCAGCAAATGTTGTTCTATTGTCCTTCCTTTAGTAAGCAAAGTACCAGGCCGGGTGGGGTGGCTCACGCCTGTAATCCCAGCACTTTGGGAGGCCGAGGTGGGCGGATCACGAGGTCAGGAAATCGAGACCATCCTGGCTAACATGGTGAAACTCCGTCTCCACTAAAAATACAAAAAATTAGCCGGGCATGGTGGCAGGCGCCTGTAGTCCTAGCTACTCGGGAGGCTGAGGCAGGAGAATGGCGTGAACCCAGGAGGTGGAGCTTGCAGTGAGCCGAGATCGCACCACTGCACTCCAGCCTGGGCGACAGAGCAAGACTCCATCTCAAAAAAAAAAAAAAAAAAAAAAAAAGTACCATAGATTTGGCGTTTTTAAATGTAATTTAGGTGAGTGAGCCTGTGTGTCTTTATCTGTGAATATATGTAAAGAAAGACACCCTAGGAAGCTCCAGGAAATGTGCTGATATTCCCTTTCTCCATTCCAGAATTTTAAATTCTGTGTCTGTACATTTTTGACTTATAAATGACAAGTTGAAAACTTTAGGACTGAGAAGACTCTCAAAAGGAATAAGGCACTGATGTGAAGGTGTCATCAGAAGATTTAGATCATAAATCCATGCTCCTCTCCTGGTTTCCAACAACTTGGATAGAGAATGCATTAAATGGTGGAATTGTCAGTAAAGGGCACAACTGAGGAATTTCCTGAGTGGGACTGGGAGTACAGGGTATTAAACCCAAGTTTTATGACTGGCCAAGGCCAGGTTAGATTTTTGACATCTGCCTCCTTCATTTTCCTGACTGTCCAGAGTTATTATGAAAAGCATTGCTGTTTTCTATGGAACCTGCTGGCTGAGATTTTCTTTCTTATTGCATCCTACAGTATTCACCTCCATTTTTTCTTATTACTTTCACATTCTAATCTAGAGATGATGAGACTTTGGCAGGTGGCTTCAGTGACACCTTCTAATCTTCTTTTGTCACTGCTTAAGCTGTTATTTCAAGATTATTTTATTCACCTGCCATTCACCCTCTCATCTAAATTTCAATTTGTTTCCATGTTTTTAGTGCACCATTTTTTGGGAAAGCATTTATGAGAGATCTTCTCAAATACTCAGTGTACGAAATTCCTTTTAGATTAAAAACTTTTAGGTTGTTTATGCACTCCTTACCCCCTCCCCCAGAAAACCATCATGACCAAGAAGGCAGATGACAGCAAAAGAATAAACCTAAGAAATAAAAACAACCATGACCCAGAATCTAACTGAAGATCAGTTATTGCATTTCATTATCATGTCTCTTTATTCTCCTTCAATTGAAATAATTCCTTTGTCTTTTTTTTTTATGACTGTGACATTTTTAACAAATACATCTGCTTTGTAGCATATACCTGAAACTGAGTTTGTCTGATATTTCTTCATGATTAGGCTTAGGTTATGCATTTTAATTTGTCGGGGGTGGGGGACAGGGATAACACAGAAGTGATGTTGTCTTTCTCAAGGCATTGGGCACATGACATTGCTTCATTTCACTTTGGATGATAATGTTGTTAAGATGATTTCTGCCAAGTTTCTCCACTGTAAAGTTACTATTTTTCTCTGTATAATTTTACAGCATTTTGTAGGGCATACATTGTCTATGTAAATATCCTGTTTGTCATTGAACTTTCACCTACTGATTTGAGTGCCCAAGTTGATAACCTTAGAATAAAGACTATTCATTAGATAATGTTATTGTAATTTTCATTTTCTGATGTTAAGTTGTACTGATTTATCTGAGAGAATGTCCTTTTTTTAGGAAATAATGAAACGTTTAGAATCATATGTACAAATGTATGATTACTAATTGTATTAGACTAAAAGAGGCAAATAGGTTACAGTGATGGGGGATCATGAGAAAAATCTACTTATACAGAATGCTCAGGAAAAGTCTAAGGAGGTGATATGTAAGCCAAGTTCAGCAGGAGACTGAACAATTTAGCCAAATACAAGAGAGTTCAAGGACGATGTGCAGAGATCTTATAAGAAAGTGATCTTGGTGGGCTCAAGAAAGCAAAAAACATGAATATTACTGAGGGAGGCCACAGAGGGAGGCAAGGGGCAGGTCATGAAGGACTGTGTAGGCTTCAGTAAGGAATTCGGATTTTATTTTAAGTGCAACATAAAGGTGATGAAGCAGGGGAATGTCCTCATCTAATTGCCATTTTAAGAAACGTTTTATTTTATACATAATAGATTTGAGGAGACATAGTACTAGGAAGACTGGCAGAAAGCTGTTTGGGAGATAGAAGGCATTATTTTGGAAAGAAATGTGGAATGAAGATGAAGAAAACTGAGTGGATTCAAGATATATTTTGGGGATAGAACTATGAGAAATTTATTAATCAGTTTAGGGAACTGGTGACGGGGAAAGAAAATAACTTCAAGATTTCTGATTTAACAATGGTAGAGAATAGAGACATTTTATGAAATGGGGCAGACTGGGAGTGGAAAAGCTGAAGTTTGATTTTGTGCATGTTAAATATGAGATGCCATGACAGAGTCAAATGGAGAAATAAGCACTGAGCTATGTGAGTTTGGAGTTCAGAATAGAATGTTGGCAAGGGAGTCAATGGCAATGGTGATGGTATCTAAAGACATTGAAATAGAAGAATGGTGAGATAAAGAGAACCAAGGCTTTGAAGATCCCTATATTTGGCGGGAGGTCTAGTAGAAGAGGAGGAGACTGCAAAAAGACCAAAAAAAATTGGAGAGAGAGACGGGATGCCATTCACATAGCTAGTGAATCCAAAGAGGAGAGTGTGCCAAGAAGAAGATGTTCAATTGTTTTGAAATTTATGAATAATTTGAATAAGAGAAGATTTAAAATGTTATTGGCCAAATGGAAGCCACTGGTGATCTTGGCAAGAATAAAGAAATGTGTAGAGAATTCATTTAGCTGTAAGTCAAGCATACTATGGGAAGTGAAAAAGTGGAGACAGCATGTGCAGACTAATATTTTTAGGTGTTTGGCAGTAATGGGAGAAAAAGAATAGAATTAGAAGCATGTGTGTGTTACAGGTAGGGAGCATTATATCAGGTTTGTGTATTGATAGGAACAATCCATTGGGGATGGTGAAAATGATGAGGTAGAAAATAGAAGGAAGGTCTGAAGTTTTTGAGATGATTAGAAGTATTGGGATCACTGGCACTGATATTTGATAGGGTGAGGAGCATTTCCTAGAATTTAAAACTAGATTATACCCAGGGAAGAGTCTGGCAATTTGAAGCTAGTAAAGAATACACAAAACATTCTTGAACTAATGGGATAGTAAGCTAACTAGAGAAATTTGTTGTTTGTGATCACCATTTCAAAAGGTAGTCTGTGTACTAAGTAATAAAATTTTCCTCCAGCTATGTTCTGCTTTTCAGATATCATGTATTGAAGTCAAATAGTTTAGACCAACAATTTTAAGTATATGTGTGGACCAGGAGTATTGATATCACCTAGAAGCTTGTTAGAAGTATATGCTCTCAATCAGAATCTGCATATTAATATATGAATAGACAGTCAAATTTTAGAAGCAATTTTCAACATCTCCTAGTGTTGGTTTTTTCCCCCAGGGAGTTGAACAGGTGTGTCTCATCATATCTTGGATTTATCACATACTTGCTTTAACCTTGGGTAGGCTGCTTAATTTCTCTGTTACATTTATTATATGGAAAATAGGGCTAATGTTAGTTGGGTAGTTCCTACCTGATAATATTGCTGTGAAATTAAGTTAGATAACATGGAAAACAATGAATGCCATGAAGAAAATTCTGAAATAATGACTATCAGCATCATTGTTATCATCATGGAGCTAGGTGACTGGTGGATTATGCAGAAAGCTCATCGGCAGTAAGAGGAAAAGCAGCAGACAGGACAGAGGTTTAATGGATTGTTTGTATGAGTGTTGAGTTTTCCATGAGTGGCAAAGGGAGTTGGGGTGGGTAGAGCTAATACAGGAAGTAAACCAGAGGATAGTGCATAGTTGACAGCCTGATGGAGAAAGGGTCACATATGCAGATTGTGTGAGTTGAAAGGAGCAGTGGGAAACATCACAAATCAAGAAATAAGTGGCTGACATATCATTTGGAGAGCAGCAATGAGGGCCCTCTTCCCATCTATGAGCCCAGAGGAGTTTGGGTCATTGCACTGCCTCTTACCAGGCAGGATGATGTTACCTCTGTGACTGAAGTTCGCTGAACTTCGGTACTTTAACCTGTGGATGCTGTGGTGAATATCCTCCATTTTCCAGGTGGGCTGGCTCCCACAGTGCTCTGTTAATACCATGAGTATAACATTGATTGTGAGATATGTAATTATATTTTCTTATCTGTCTCTAGAACAAGAGGTCCTGAAAAAATCTATTTCATACTAATTGCTAATAATTGAGTACTCAAGTTTCTTAACAACACCAAGCCTCAAAAATACAAGCTAATGCTGAGTATTGAAAAAGATAGAAACTTGACTGATTCATTAAATAAAACAAATATTTGATTAAGATAGCACATCCACAAAAGAACTGATTAAACCAATATAGTGTAAATAATATTTACTGAATTTAACAGCACATTTAAAAATCATTCACTACAAAAGATTTATCCCAAATGCAATGATAGTTTTATATCAGGACATCTATTAATATAATTCATAATATCACTATCCCCACTAAAAACAAAGCAGTTTATGTAAGAGCTATAACTACTATAAATAAAAAAGCAAATTAGAATTTGAATCAAAATGACTATGTAATTGGAAATTTCAAGAGAATAAACTAAATTCTCAGCAATAAGGAATGCAAGATAATAGAAAGACACAAAATAATATAAAATATCAATACATCATTTAGAAATAATATTCAGTTAAAAGGTAAAATAGAAAACATTTCTATGGCAATAGCAATGAAAAATCTTAAATTAGCTAAAAATAACTCTGATGAGAAATGTGCAGGAGCCATTGAAGTAAACTATAAAGTTTTATTAGGAAAGATAAAAAAGATTTAAGTAAATGGAGAAACATGATTTTCTGCATAGGAAAAAATGTTATTCTTTTAAATACTTTATGGTTGTAATTGATTCTAATAAGAATTATAAAAGGGTTTCAAAATTTGTAAAATGATTATTGTACACATGTGGGAGAGAGTATGATGAAAGCATAGCTTAGGAAAATTGGGGGGAAAAAACTTGTTTCTGACCCCTGTCAACATTTTCTGCATTTATAACAATTCTAACATAGTGGTTTGGTATGAGAATTAGAAAATTAATAAATGGAATAAACTTTATAGCTTTAAACAAATGATAGCATATAAATAAGGGAGACTGTATTCACAGTGGCTGGTTTATGCAGTACTAACATTAACCCCGAAACCCCATGGATTAAGATGAAAAGGTTTATTACTTGCTCAGCTATGTTTCCTTAGGGACAACAGGGAGCTTTGCTCCACACAGTCACTCAGGATCCCAGCCTGATGTAGGTTCCACCAATCTGTGACTGTATGATCTGAAATATCCCCAGTCACTGACAGAGTGGAGAGAAGAACAGGAGGGTCCCACTGTAGCTCCTGAACACTTCTATTCAGAAGTAATGTGTATCACTTCCATTTCAACCAGTCATACACCCTCACCACATTGCACAAGAGTGGAAAAGAAGAGCAGAACAAGTGCTCATTAGTGAGAATGAGTAATTTCTACTCCACCTGCATTGTCATAATAATGTACATACTAACTATTGGCTTAACCAGCACATATAATATGATAGCAGAAGTGTGGGTGGGGCAAAGCTGGGGAAGTACAGAAATGCTAAATTCTCATTTACTATAATAAGAGGCCAATAAAATGAGTACATCAAGTAATAGCAGTTATAAGCACATTATTTTTGAAATATGGAGACAAATATCAGAAGAAACCGTTAAAGGTTGAAAGTGATTCCCTATGGGGATAAGGTAAAATGAGTAGATGGCATGCAGGGGATGGCTGTAAAGATTTTATGTTAAAAATTATTTGAAGTTTGGTTAAGTGCCTGTATCACTTTGATAAAACTAAAAATTAAAGTGAGAAAGGGATAGAGTTATTTCGAGTTGGGAGCATGATAAACACATTTTGATTCTAATGTCATATAATGCATTAAGTAAATTCCAGTGAGATTTGAGTTAAATGTAAAATATATAACTATCAATGTAAAGGAAAATAAGTATTAAATAGATCCTGCAATGAGGAGAAACATTCAGACATAAAACTTTGAGCAAAATAATGAAAAGACAGATATATAACCTGACTATAGAAAATTATACAAAAACACAGTAATTTAAAAGACAAAAATCGAGAATGTATTTACAACATATTTATGTAAATATATTTCTTATTATATAATTTTAAAAATCATTATGAAGGATAAATATCCCTTCAGAAAAATGTTCAGGGATCTCAAGTAGGTAACTTCCAGGAGAAGACGTATTAACAAGACATGTATGAAAAATTTGAAACTCACTTGTAAATAATGAATATTAATACTATTTTCACCATTCAAGTTGAAAAATATTGACAAGACTGCTTAATGCTAGAACAAATGTAGTGAGATAAGAACTTCCATATATGATTGCTTAGTGAAAACTGTAAATTTTTTTTCAGGAACATTATCAGCATTTATCAAGAGCCTTAAAATAATTTACTTCAAAGATCCTGGTTAAAGATAGTGGAATAAGGCTGAATAACAACATCTCTTTTTTTGTGCTTCCAGACAAAAATACTCATTATTTGTCATTTAAAAATAAAACAATGCTTTGTATACTAAGCTTTGAAAGAGGTGAATCTAAATGACTGTAGCATAGATGGGGGAAACTCTTACACCCTGCCCTCAAATAGGCACACAGTTTCAGAGGGGGAAAATAAAAAGAAATAAATAGACAAAATCTTAAGAATTTTCAAGGATATAACTGAATTTGGAAAAAAGTAGGCCACAAATACAAACAAATTATCAACAGGTGTTTAGTCCTCTAAACAAACAACAAACAACCAAATTAAAATAACATGAATCAGTTCAATAAAATGAGACTATTAAGGCAAAGCAATAAATTATTAAATTGGATGAAAGTGTTCATTGAATGGGATGAAAATGTATGTTAAAGAGCCCAGGAAATAAAATGAGAACCAAACTGATACTAGTATCATAAACAAAATAGAAAAAGCAAGGAACTAATGACAATATATGTTGAATAAATAGACAATTGGATACTGGCTGATGTAGGGAATGTCTGAAGATAATCACAGTGAATGCAGAGAAAAATGCCAAAACCATTATGTTAATTACAGAAGATGGTGGCAATGGAGGACACACAAATATCCATTGTAAAAATAAACGACTTATTTCTAAAGTAGAAAACTTTACAATTGGAAAAAAGAACACATTCCTAGACATGTAAATTCCCTGAAATGAAGGAAGAATTGGATCTACATGTCAGTTACACCTTCATTTAGAAAAACTTTAAAGACTTTTGTTTCAACTATTGAACTTCAAGAATAAGCAATAATTTTTTAGGATTAAAAAAATCCCCAAAAATGGGAGCAAGAATTGAACTGGTTTCAATTTCTACATAGCAACACTCAATGGTGAAAGATAATGTGGGAATGTCCACAGCATTCCAAAGGGAAGAAAGTTGGATCTAAAAAAGTTGCATTATATGCACATGTTTTTCAATTTCAAGGAAACTTAAAGCTAATCTTAAAAACGAATGAGTCAATAATTCAAATTCCAGCCCCTTATCTTGAAGTAATTGGAGCTATTCATAATCTCATAGGGTAATTTACAGCAGAGATAAAGTTAGATGTGGTTGGCAGTTAATATTATGGAAACACAAAAGTCATTTTCAAGCATAGGTAAAAGGTAGGAGATTAAGCATGCATCTAGGATGATCCCAGGTTTACAAAATATTTTTATGAAGTCTGGAGTGAAATATTGCAAATATTAGTGGTTATGCCTGCTGGAATGGGAAGTGAAGCTTAGTATGGTGATTTCAAAATTTCTTCATTATGTATATTTTCATTTTAAAATGTCTACGATGAATATGAGTAAAAATTATAAAAATTCAAGTATTCAATCAAAACTTGGATGCAAGTAGTCCTATTTGTATATTCAAGATGTAACACTAGATTTTAAATTCAAAGATTGGCATGGGTGACTCCCCAATGATTTTAACCTTCAACAAATATGTACTAAATATTTCTAGTCCTGTGGTAGGTTCTAGGCCTATAAGATGGATCTTTTCTCTTTAGTGTGCTTCATTTGGGGAGGAACACAAGTATAAATAGTAATTACCAGAAAATACAGTAAATACATAATAGAAGTAGGTATGAGGTGCGGTGGGTTACCAGAGAGAGTCTTTCATCTAGGTCATCTTTCATCTAGATGACCCGTGCAGCATGCTCCTGGCTTGCAACTCATCAATTTTCCTTTACAAATCAGGGAGGAAGATCGTTCACAATTGCAAAATATTCATGTAACTCCTCTGTTTAAATTTTAGCTGTTTCTGATTAAAGCTTGAAAATGACCTCCTACTGAATAAGACCCTCTGTAATCTCTACACCCTATAAACCTCTCCATGCAACTCTCTTGCCTGTTGTTTCTCACTCAGACTGTACTCGAGCATATTGCCTGTTTTTCTTTCTTTTTTTTTTGGTTCCCTGAATGTGCCCATAGTGGGCTGAATAGTGACACTCCCTGTAGCCCTGCAGCTGCCAAAAAGAATAAAAAATAAGTGCACCTGACCTTATTTGGAAAAAAGTCTTTACAGATGTAATTAAGAATCTTAAGAGGAGACCATCCTGGGTGAGGATGGACTGTAAATCCAATGAGAAGTGTTCTTATAAGAGAAAGGAAGGGAGGGAAGAAAACATAAGAGGAGAAGGTGATGTGAAGATGGAGGTAGAAACTGGAGTGAAGCATCTGCAAGAAAAGGAACTCCAGGGATTGCCAGCAGCCACCAGAAGCTACAAGACGCATGGAATGAATTCTCCCTCGGAGCCTCTAGAAGGAACCCACACTTCTGACGCCTTGATTTCTGACTTATGGCCTCCATAATTATGAGGGGATACATTTCTATCATTTTAAACCACTAGGTTCATGGTAATTTGTTGTGGGAACCCTAAGAAACAAATACAGTGAAGTTACATCATTTTGCCTCAGGGGAAAAGGATAGACTTAGTTCCCTTCTCATTATTCTTTGCTCAGTTAAACTCTCTCATCTTTCATATATCAGCTTGTTATTTCTTCTGGAAAGACTTCCCTGCGTCCCAGACTGTTACATCTTCCGTGGTATCCTATAGATCCTCGATGATGAAACTCACCCATTTTATACAATTATTCTTTTGATGCCTCACCTTGTGTGTATGTTCCTTGTTTATTTCAGTATCCTGTAGAAACTAGTAAAGTGCTTGGCACATAGACACTTAATAAATATTTATTGCTTCACAGAGAGGAGAGGGGATGGCATTTGAAAAAGTTAGCAGGATTTAGCTAGGAGCAAAATGGGATTCTATAGAAGAAAGGGATCTTGTAAAGATATGCAGGAATGAACACTTATGGTCCAATGAGAAAATGAGTTTAGAATAAACTATCTGGAGAGTTGGGGGAAGACAAGAATATAACATTCATTTGGGTCAGAGTATGAAGGGCTGGGTCTCCCATGCTAAAGCAATAGCACTTTATTTTTATTTTATTTTTTATTTTTTGAGACAGAGTCTCGCTCTATTGCCAGGCCGGAGTGCAGCGGCGCGATCTTGGCTCACTGCAACCTCTGCCTCCTGGGTTCAAGCGATTCTCCTGCCTCAGACTCCTGAGTAGCTGGGACTATAGGCGTGCGCCACCATGCCTCTCTAATTTTTGTATTTTTAGTAGCGATGGGTTTCACCATGTCGGCCAGGATAGTCTCAATCTCTTGATCTCGTGATCTGCCTGCCTCGGCCTCCCAAAGTGAGCACGTTGTCTTTAAGGCCAGGACTTAGGAACTCGAGTTCTTATAGATGGTATTAAAGAGTGAAGTGTACAAAGTACTTCATTTTCTTCTTAATTATGCTCTGAGAACAAACAACCATAATAAACACCATAATAAATAGCATCTGACTGGGAGGACACAAGAGAGTCATGGAAAGTGCGGTAACCCAGGAAGCATGTGCTCTGTTTATAGGCAGCAGGATTTTCAGCTTCTGCTTATTGTTTCCTTGTGGGAACATGGGCACAGTGTTGTCAGATATTATAATTTTTTTGCAAAAGAATCCACAAACCTAAAATTTTATATAAAAAGAACTGGCTTGTAAATTTGGACAACCATTTCATTTTTAAAAAAGACTGTGCATACCCATGCTGAGAGGACCTAACAAAATGTATCTGTAAACTGAATATAATTTGAGAAACACAAGTTTGTGACCCCTTTTAATCAATTGGAAGAATAAATATCTATGAAGAAACTTCACTAATATTCTCTGTCTGGGTCTATGTCGGTCTGGCCACTCATCAAAGGGTTG